>NC_000013.11:84063209-84216050 GCF_000001405.40 Homo sapiens | reverse complement strand
TTTCCTTCTAAACCAGACCCCTAATCTTTACAAAATAAAAACTGAAGAATTTAGAATTTGACATTCTAAGGAGCCTAATAAAGTCTAGTTCTTGCTTTCCCTGAATTTGAGCTGCAAAGAGGAAAGTCTTTTTATATACTGATATGGAGGCCTTATGATTTTTACAGTTTGCCTTATTCTTGAGCAATTGCCCTCACCCCTCAATATATTTCTCCATTATTTTAATGACATGCAGGGAGAGTCATATGATGTTACAAAATATAAATTTAAATTGACATGTCCCAAACTATTAAATCTCTGAGATAATGTACCCACCAGTATATTGCCATCCACCAATACTTTATCCCAGTTCACTACTTGTGAAAGTCTTTTCCAAATGCACTGATATGGCATGCAAAAGCTGCACATACCCCACTATCACTAATGATAGAAATCTCATTGTCTTCTAACCAGCAGTAATTCAGCTCTAAAGTCCTATTTCAGAGGACTTTCAAAACACTTCTCACCACTTCTCAACTGACTTAGGTCAGGTGTCCTGGGGGTTGGGTTTGGGGACTTAACAGTAGAATATGTGCACAAGATATTATGGAAGAATGCTCTCAGAAATTATACCTATGAGATATTGAGGGAAGCAAAATTTGTCAGAGGCAGAAGTTGAACCACGATGCATTTGCATCAGAGGTTGAGATAGCATTTTGGAATTGACCAAAATTGAAGCAAAGGTTCTAGGTCTTTATACCCCTGCAAAAGCCAGTCACTGGATGTGTGCTGTCCAGAGTGGCACAATACAGTGTATCAGTGCAAAAGCCAGCCACTTGGATGATGCCACCCCTTTTTTAGAGAGACTCCATAGGGGGAAGAAATGTATCTGAAGCTAAGCTCACAACAACAAAGTTATATCACATGAGAAACAATAATAATAATGAGATTAAAGGGACGTTAGAAACACAAATGCTGGTGTCCCCAAAATATAAATGTAAAGCATAAAATGTGTAAGTGTAAATGTGTTAAAGAGACAATAAAAGAAAGTTATACCATAACGAGAGAAAGACATTAAAAAACAATAAATCAGATTTTATAAAGAAACAAGTAGAGGGCTGGGCGCGGTGGCTCACGCCTGTAATCCCAGAACTTTGGGAGGCCAAGGCGGGCAGATCACCTGAGGTTGGGAGTTTGAGACCAGCCTGACCAATATGGAGAAACCCCATCTCTACTAAAAATACAAAATTAGCCAGGCGTGGTGGTGCATGCCTGTAATCCCAGCTACTTGGGAGGCTGAGGCAGGAGAATTGCTTGAACCCAGGAGGCAGAGGTTGCAGGGAGCTGAGACTGTGCCATTGCACTCCAGCCTGGGCAACAAGAGTGAAACTCCGTCTCAAAAAAAAGAAAAGAAACAAGTAGAATAACCAGAGAAGAAAATATATCGTTATTGGAACTGAAAACTCAATTGTTAAAATAAATAGCTGAAAACCACATTGGTGACCCAGCAATACAATTGAATACATTATCTTCAGTAGAAAGGATAAAAAAATTAAAATGTCTTTGTACTCCTATAAAGACTTTGTGAAATGTCTTTGTCACTCTGCTCTAAAGAAATACCTGAGACTGAGTAATTTATAAAGAAAAGAGGTTTATTTGGTTCATGGTTCCCCAGGCTATACAGGAAGCATAGTGGCTTCTGGTCAGCTTCTGGGGAGGCCTCAGGGAGTTTTCAATCATGGTGGAAGGCAACGGAGGAGCAAGCACCTCACATGGCAGGAGCAGGAAGAAGAGAAAAGACAGGAGGGAGATGCCATACACTTTTAAACTACCAGATCTCATGATAACTGACTTATTCATTACGAGGAAAATAGCACCAACAGGGTGGTGCTGACCCATTCATGAGAACTCCGCTTACATGATCCAATCACCTCCCAACAGACCCCACCTCCAATACTGGGGATTACAGTTCGGCATGAGATTTAATGGGGACACAGGTCCAAATTATAACAGTCTTTAAAAGGTAAAATAAAATTACATCCTCTTTTAAACATTGTATAGTAAAAGTACAACACCAGATGCAAAAAAAAAATTAAAATATATCAAAGATTTATGATGATAATTACAATTAGACTGATAACTAACCTCTTATCATCAACAAGTAAAGCTTTTTTTTACAAGTAAAGCTTGTAAAAAATAAATTTTAGTCATGAAATGGCTGAGATGATATTATAAACTGAAAATTATACACAGTTGAATTATTATGCTGGCGTGATAGAAAAATTAAAGAAACTTTCAGAAAGAGAAATAATTTATTATGGACACAGTATTGCACAGAGACTTAATTAAACATGAACCTCAGAAAATGAAAATTGAAGGCAGAAATTACAATATGTATGTTACTAGCAATGTTGAATCAAAAAAATTGGTAATCATGTGGTTGCATATCTATAAATATTGACTAAATATATAATAATGATAATTTTGAAAACATTTTTAAAAGGTTAGCAAACAAAGGATAGCAATATCAGATTAAAAAATTTTAGGTGCTTGTTAGGGAGAAGATAACATATTAATTTTGAATGTTTCTGTTGAATTAATTATGCCTGTTTAAAAATTTAACCATAGCCACTTAGATAACAGAAAGATAATGTAAATGTCTAAAGCAGTAGAGAAGCCAAAAAGATGCACACACAGACAAACACACATGAATACTATGGAAGAAGGAAAACCAAAACTAAAGCAAATAAAAAGCATGGCAAAAGGAAACTTTGTTCAAAGTGATGCAGTTCAGTTCAAACAGATCAGAAAGACAGCAGTATGGTACTAGATAATAACAAAAATTAAATATGCAATAGAAACCCAGAAATTTCAGATTACAAATTTTTTTTAATCAGTAAAACAAAACAGTTCAGAAAAATTGAGAGTTAAGTGTACCAGAAAGGCATTTTAGGGTAATTGACAAAAGTAAGTTTTTGCAGAGACATTATTTAGCTATTGGTTAAAATGTTATTATGTAAAAAGAATGTCATTATTTAATGATAAAGGAGAGAATTGATTAGATATATTTGACACTGAACTTCATATACCTATTGTATGTGCACGTGTGTATATGATATGTGATGGAGTTGCATCTAATATGTGTATGTTACTATGAACACTGAGTACAGTAGGATAAGAAAATATCAAAAGCCATTAGTTCAAGCCTGTAATAAAATGCTGCAATATGAGATCAGCAAAGGAGTGTGTTGTGAGGGGAGAAAATAGGATAGATTGGAGTATATCAGTCAAGGTTTAGTTTGTTCTTAAGATTATTCACAAGTCATATCCTCAGAAGATGTAGGGAAAGATAGATTTCATTAACCCCAAGTTGGGGTATAGCAAATGCAGCAAAACCAGAATTGCCATGTAGCAACGATTAGATAATATGTGTTTAACAAAAAGGATGAGAATGAAACAGTTGGAGACTAGGATCCCACACAGAACAGTGGAAATCTTTACTATTTCAGCATCTTTCCCAATAATAAGATTTTAATTTTTGTTCAGAATTTTAATAAGGATAAAAATAATTTAAATGTTAAAATATTTATCCAATTTATAACTTCTTATTGTGTTCTTTAAAATCAAGTGCTTTTCTAAAATATCTTGATAAGAGGCAAATACTATGCAAAATTTGATGGTTTGTATTTTCTTCTAGCATTTTGCAATTTTTCCTTTTTATCATTAGAATTAAATAGCAGAATACTGTTATTTTATTTGCATCATCTTTGGTCTTTTTCAAACAACTCTGTGTTGTGTTGTGTGTGTGTGTGTGTGTGTGTGTGTGTGTGTGTATACATATAATCTCATTGCAGCTTGCTAATTTTGCAACAGGGGGTAGTATAAATGCTAGAATTCACAATTATCTAAATTTTATAATTTACTTGTTGTTGTTGTTTAGAGATAGCGTCTTGCTCTGTCACCCAGGCTGGACTACAGTGGCACAATCATAGTTCACTGCAGCCTTGAACTCCTGGGCTCAAGCGATCCTCCTGCCTCAGCTTCCCGAGTAGTTAACTGGGATTACAAGTGTGTGCCACTACACCTGGCTAGTATATATTTTTTTTAAATTTTTGTAATGACAGGATTTTGCTAATTTTGCCCAGGCTGATCTTGAACCCCTGACTTACGCAATCTTCCCACCTCAGCTTCCCAAAGTGCTGGCATTTCAGGCATGAGCCACTGCACCTGGCCTATAATTTGCTCTTGATAGAAATAACTTGAGTCATCTAGATTCCATGTCCAGCATCTAAACTTTATATAACTATATTTTAATGATTTATAAGTAAGTAATTTGCATTAAAAACATTTAGAATTAATACTTTAAAATTTATTGCATGCTAAATAAATATACACATTACATCTAAATAGATTTAACTTTAAAAGTGGTTCTAGGTCAATTTATAATATTTGTTTATTCATGAATACACAAAGTTTAATTTTGCTATTTTTTCATAAGTACAAATTCTTTAATTTCAAAAGTTAACAGAACTAGTCTATTTGCATACCTGATTGTGGAAGCCTTTCTTCAAGATGGCCCCATGATGTCCACCTCCTGGTATTTATAGGTTTGCACAGTGCCCTCCCACACTGTACTGCATTTGATCTGTGTGGTTAATAGCATATGAACGAAGTCATAGGATATTACTTCTAAGTTTGTGTTATAAAAGACTATGTTCTCCATTTTGGAATCTCTCTCTCTCTCTGTCCTTCTCTGTAAAAAGTAAGCTGCCTTGTTGTCAGCAGCCCTGTAAAGAGACTCACATGAGGAGGAACTGAACCCTCTAGTGAACAGTCATGCAGAAACTGATGCATGCCAAAAGACATGTAAGTGAACTTGCAGATTCTCACATCCTAGATTAGCCTTGGGATGACTGTGGCACCAATACATAGTTTGACGGACATCTCATGAGAGACTTGAGCCAGAAGACTTCAGCTCAGCCACTCCCACATTGCTGACCCTGGGTGACTTTATGAGAGATAATAAATATAGATTGTTTTAAGCTCCAAAGTCATACGATAATTTGTTATGCAGCAATAGATAACAAATATATCCATCAAACGGTTATGTTAATGGAGATTTATACAAATTGATATATTTTAAAGTCAAACTACTCCATCATTCAGATATTAAAACAACAGAAGATAATAATATTAATGTGTACTACTGAATGTGTTCCATAAATGCTATCTAGTGCCTGCTGAATACATAGAAGTTAAATAGTTGGCTTCTACCTCTAAAATACTTATAGATTTTTAAAAAATAACAAGCTAGAATGCAATTATCAGTAAGATATATGGATGTATTTATAAATAGGAGCATATATATTTTGAAATTACATACAGCCTCAAATTAAAAAAAAATTAGCTAGTTAACTTAGTTGTACAGAACTGAAGCCATCTTCTATCCCAAACACAGTTCACATAATATGAACACAACATATAGCTCCTTCCTCTCCAGTAGGTAAAAACTATTATTCTCTCCCTCACCTATTCCAAATAAATTTGTAAATAAAAGAGTGTGAAGTTGGAACACTACTGATATATTGTGTAGAAGAAAATGAAAAGAGAAGAAGGATCTGGCTCTTGCTCTGGTGAGTCGCAGCCGAAGTCAAATTTAGGATAGAGAATGAATGGCTTCTCTTCTCTTCACCGAGTCAAGGGGATGCAGCAGAAGGATGACCAGAGAGAAGATCCTCTCTTCCCACAGTGGCTTGTAGGGATTTACTACTAATAGTCTGTGACCCCAAAGTGATATTTTTATCAACTCATATCTTGACCGTTAACTCTTTAGTTATCTGTCTTTCTAATTGTATGAAGAAATAACTTCTAATTTATAAATAGCTATAGTTAGACAACATAAAAAAAAGAGTTTATCTCTTTCTTTTTGTACTATTGTTGGAGGGTAGGCAAAATGAATCAAAACACTTGGGACGGGGTCACTTTTTTTTTTTTTTTTTTTTTTGAGACAGAGTCTCGCTCTGTCGCCCAGGCTGGAGTGCAGTGGCGCAATCTCAGCTCACTGCAAGCTCCGCCTCCCGGGTTCACGCCATTCTCCTGCCTCAGCCTCCCGAGTAGCTGGGACTACAGGCGCCCGCCACCACGCCCAGCTAATTTTTTTGTATTTTTAGTAGAGACGGGGTTTCACCATGTTAGCCAGGATGGTCTCCATCTCCTGACCTCGTGATCCGCCCGCCTCGGCCTCCCAAAGTGCTGGGATTACAGGCGTGAGCCACCGCACCCGGCCGGGACGGGGTCACTTTTTACCCACCACACAGGAAAAGAAATATACGCATGTATTGCACGTACGTACATGTATGCTTGATAATGTCTTTCTAATTTTATTAACTTTACCTCTTTTATAAAAAGCACAGTCTATTCTTCTCTACCAAAGCCAAGAAGTCAGAAAGAGAATATTCAGCCTCTAGTTTTAGCTTTTCATCCAAATGCTAGGTATAGTACTGAGAGAATAACTAAGCAAAGAAAACAATCATTGCATCATGAGCCTTCTTCTCTTGAATACATGGAAGTAAAGTTTATATCATATTTTTGAGTAGTTTTCTCAGGGAAGGAGAACAATTAAATCAGATAATATAAAATATGCCATAGTGTTATTGTCAGAAGAAAGTTTTTCTAAGGACATAGATACAAAAAGTTATTTAAAAGGCTAGAATTTTGGCTGATGTATAAAACTAGAGAAAAGGCATACAAACTGCTCTGGTGCAAGCAAATGGTACAAAAACAAAGCACAGGAAAATATTTGGGGGAAAAGTCACAAAGAGAGTCCTATTATTTTTAAAACAGCTTTATTAAGACATCATTTACATATTATACAATTCATCCTTTCAAAGTGTACGCCAAAAGACAGATACAAAGAGTCCTATTATTTTGTAGGTAGACAAATATAGAACCACAGCTGAAACTATGCAAAATTAAGAAATGAGAGAGTAGAATATTTTAAAATATATTTTATTGATTTGAGCTGAGAAATTTATTATGAATTACCCTTGAGGATTTGCTATGTATTTTAGAATGCAAAATGATCAAGCCAGGTTATTGGGGAACTTGCTGGGAATAGAAATTGGCCACATATATTAAACATCACATCTCTATATTTTTAGGAAGCTCTCCAAAAATGCTCCTCAATCTTACAGTACATGGAATCCTGAGCCGTGATAGTATTAGACTGCCTTGCATAAAGTTCTTGGCAGAAAGTATCTATGGGTTATTGGGCAGCTTGTCAACCACGTATCATTTTTTGTTGTGCTTCTGGAAAGGAAAACTTATTTCCCAATAAAGAAGTGATATCTGCAGCAGGGCCTCATTTTTGGAATGAAATAGAACACGATGGAACAAGATGTGAGTCTCTTATTTGCTCTCTGAGGTGTCAGTCGCTTTTATTAGATTGGCTAAGGTTTTCTCTTTTTTTAATTGTATGGTGCTTCTTATTCTAATTTTATATACTCTAAATTAAACTGGAAAATCTACTTTCTTCATGTAGAGTGAGATTGAGTTACTGTGAACTGCAACAAGGGAGTAGGTGGCTGGAAATAAGCCAGGATTCAAGAAAAAGGAGTGTGAACATGAACTCTGTGTGTTTTCCATTTTAGCCTTGCTCTCTTGCTGACAGCATCAGAGAGGTGAGGCGAGCAAAAAGCAGCTGTGGAAGCAAGAAACTAAGCACCTGAGAACTGAAATAAATAAGCAGCATCCGTTTTTAACTAAACAGGTTACAAAAGCAGAGTCATTCATAGCAAGCTATTAAATGATGCGGAAACTATTTGAACTATAAAAAGGCTGATGGCTCAGGAAAGCACAGTTGAAAATAATATTAGAGATACTTCAAGAAATGTAGCAGGAGTGCAGTTACATATTTTTAAAAATCAGGTAAGCCTTTAGGCACGAAGTTGCTATTGATATTGTCTTTTCTAATTCTACATTTCTATAGGAATGTAAGGAATATATCTTTCTCTTCAGCAAACTCAGTAATTAAAAATGCAATGATTAGATTCATAGTAGGTGTTTCTTATTTAGTTTTTTGGATCACTCTCATACATTTCTTTCTAAAAATTTTTAGTGATTTTAATATACCAAGATGACTCTTCCAGAATTCTAATTCATTGAACTCTATTCCATCGTCACCTTTACCCCAACTCTGCCTCTCCCAGCCAGTGTCATATCCTTGTCAATCTAAAAATTTCAGCGCTTCAGTATCTTTATTCTATCCATTTTCTCTCTAATCACCACCTTCTTGGATTCCAGTAAGCTTCCTCTCTCAGGGTGACATTTACATGCTTCTCTTGGCTTTTTGCTGTCACTCAACCCATTGATGTTCTTTCTTCTTCTGTCCTTAACAAGTTTTAATTCCATGATCAATCATTATAATAACTGTCTGACTTATACCTCAACTTGTCTGCCTCTCTCATTCTTCATCACACTCACCTAAGAAAACCACAACCCTATTTAAACCCAGCCCTGTGTGCCTACTTTATTCCTGCACCCAGGCAGCTTAATGAAGCTGTGGGAAAACTAGCAACAATAACTCTTCCCACTTTAAATTCCTGATCATAAACCAAGTACTTAACGTTGAGGTTTAAAATCATTTCATGCTGTTCTGCAATCATACTGTAGCTCCCTGTTGCACTGACTGACCCACACTCAGATACGACTCTTTCCATTCTGCTCTTCTCATCAATACCTCGCACCACATCCTCACTCCCATTGTGATTGTTACTTTGCAAAATTAAGTAAACAAAAGAGTACATTCACAGGCTCCTACAAGAACATCTAACTACAGATGTATTGCCATGCTCTGCCTTTCTGTCTCTTTCTATAGATTAGCATTTCACATTCCTATTTAAAATGAATATTTGTAAACTTGATTGCATCCCTCAGCATCTCAAGGACATTGCCGCAGCAATTCCTCCCTGTCTTTCTTACAACATTTTTTTTCACTTCTCAATTAAATCCTTTCCTTCATTATACAAAATGCTATATTTCTATCATTATAAACAAACAAACCAGCTTATTTTGATACCACTTCCCCATACAACTACTATCTATTTCTTTGGGTCTCATGACAATTAAATAGTTTGAAAGATGCATTTATATTTTCAGATTTCATTCTTCTTCCTCCATATCTCTCCTGATTCCATACCACTCAGCCTTCCACTCTCATCCCTTGACTGAAATGGCTTTTTCACTGTCACCAATAAACTAAATCCAATATTCAGTGTTCAATAGTCATCTTTGATGTTGTTGATAATTCTTCTCCCTGGCAAATTATCTTCTTTAGTCCCGCAGGGCAATCGTTGTATTGCTGTTGTTTGCTTTTTCATTTGATCTACTTGTTGCTATTGCTCAGTCTTTATGTTGGTCCCTCTTTTCTCCCAACTGCATAATGGGACTCACCGTCTCATTTCAGGAACTCCATATTTAATCTGTATTCCCTCCTTTGGTAATCTGATTTAATGTTATGGATTTAAATGCTGTATATTATAAATGATGTAAATAAGTCCATGTGGTGATTCCCGAAACTTCATCTCAGACCTCTCGTTCCAAACTCATACATATAGTGGCCAACATATTTCTACTTCTAAATCTTAAATTTATTTAAGATTGAACTCCTGATCATTACTTCTCCTTGCGAAAGAAAGAAAGAAAGAAAGAAAGAAAGAAAGAAAGAAAGAAAGAAAGAGAGAGAGAAAGAGAGAAAGAAAGAAAAAAGGAAGGAAGGAAGGAAGGAAAGGTGGAAGGAAGGAAAGGTGGAAGGAAGGAAGGAGAGAGAGGTGGAAGAAGAGAGAGAAGGAGAAGGAAAAATAAGGAAAAGGAAAAAAAAGCAAGCTGGGCCAACTGCACATGTTCCCATCTCAGTTGATGCTAACTCAATCCTTCTCATTGCTGGGAACCAAACTGCGACATTAGCTTTCCTTTCCCATTCTTCTTCTCAAAACCAATCAGTCAAATTTTCATGTTGACTGCATAAATGTCTTCTTTTGAGAAGTGTCTTTTCATGTCCTTTGCCCACTTTTTGATGGTAGCAGTCAGAATGGCAATTATTGAAAAGTCAGAAAATAGAAGCTCATGAGGCTGTGGAGAAATGGGAATGCTTTCATACTGTTGGTGGGAAGGTAAATTAGCTCAACCATTCCAGAATATAGTGTGGCGATTCCTCATGGATCTAGAACCAGAAATACCATTTGTCCCAGCAATCCCATTACTGGGTATATACCCAAAGGAATATAAATAATTCTACTCTAAAGACACAGGCACACATATGTTTATTGCAGCACTCTTTACAGTAACAAACACATGGAACCAACCCAAATGCCCATCAATGATAGACTAGATAAAGAAAATGTGGCACATGTATACCATAGAATACTGTGCAGACATAAAAAGGAATGAGACCATGTCCTTGGCAGGACATGGATGCAGCTGGAAACCATCATTCTCAGCAGACTAACACAGGAACAGAAAACCAAATACTGCATGTCTCACTCATAAGTGGGAGCTGAACAATGAGAACACATGGACACAGGGAGGGAAACAACACACACCAGAGCCAGTTGTGGGTTGGGGGGCAAGGGGAAGGAGAGCATTAGGACAAATAGCTATTGAATATGGACCTTAAAACCTAGATGACGGGTTGATAGGTGCAGCAAACCACCATGGCACATGTATACCTGTGTAACAAACCTACATGTTCTGCACTTGTATCCCGGAACTTAAAGTAAAATGTAAAAAAATAATAATGAACAAAAAGAAACAAATTAAAAAAAAAATTTCTGTCGGCTTCACTTTCAAATAAATACTGACTCTGACAATGTCTCCTCACCTATCCTGACCCAAACCACTGTGGCCATTTGCCTGCATTCTGGAATATGACACAAACTCCCTTACAGCTTATTCTCAGCATATTAGTCAGATCAATCAGGCAAATTATGTCATTCTTCTAAAAATGCTCCAATGGTTACATGTTGCTCTTTGAGTAACATATTAAGACAATACTGTGGCCCAAAAGTTCCTACATTATTTGTCTCCTTTTAGTTGTTTCTCTTGCTTCTTCCTCTACTATTACTTTCTTTCACAACACTGGTCCACATTCAATTTTTGCAATTGTTCAAATATTCCAAACAAATGCCCTATTTGGAGTCTTTGTGGTGACTGTTCTTTTCCCTAGATATTCTGTCTCTAGATATCTATATGACTTTATTTTTCCTATCCTTCAGTCTCTAAATATCTATATGACTTTATTTTTCCCATCCTTGAAACCTTTGCTTATAGGTTCTCCTTTCAATGAAGTCTGATATAACTATTTTCTTTAAAACAACATACTATTTTCATTGCACTTTTTATTATCTAACATATCATACCATTCATTTGTTTATTCCTATTTTTGTTTCTTGTTTAATATCATGACCCCACAGAAGGTAAGCTCCATGAAGGCAGATATTTTCATCTGTTTTATTCACAGATGTATCTTAAGTTCCTTGGACTGTGTCTGCATATAGTAGACATTTAATACATACTTTTTGGGAAAAAAATGTTTCAGTCAATATCAACAGAACTGGAGTCAGATAACATGGGTTTAAAGTCAGGCCTTAACTTCCTTTATCCCTGCCGGCTGTGTGACCAGAAGAAAGCCACTTTAATCTCTTTAAATTTATAAAACGGAATAATATTAGTAAGTATTATATAAGATAGTTGCAAAGATTAAGCAATGATAACATGTTAATTCATTAACATTTCTGTTATAATCATTCAATTAAAAATCAAACTACTTAAAATCTATTAAATAATGTATTTGTTAAAGTAATTTTCCCCAACTTGTACGAGTATATTTTATTGTCAAAAACCTGGACACTATATTATATCCAGCAGCTAAAGTAAAACTTTTAAATTTCTAAGGTTGCATTTTATTTATTTTCATGCTTTGGGAATTGAACAGTGAGCATGTAGTAGATGTTCAAATTGTCTATAAGAACTGATTTGAATTGAACTGGCTGCAAAATAGGCTCAATATATAAGTCACTTTCTCACTTTAATAGTCTTATGTAAAAATGAAATTCTTTTTTGGTGCTGACTTGCCTCTGATATAAGCAAGGAAAGCAAATCTCTCCCCTCTACATCCATTGGGTACCTAGAAGACTTAAATTATTTAATCACCTCTGTCTAATTTCTAGTCACAACTCAAAAGAATAAGCATTAAATAGGGCCATTCCTAGGTTTTTTGCTGAAATTCTTGGTGGATGCAAATACAGAGGTAATTGAGGTCAACTGAATGGAAATCTGCATATAAAAAGCAGTTATTTATACAGTAAATATAGATCGAAAAATTAAAGAGCCTCCATGGTAAAATCATAGAAGGAAACAGGATTTGCATGTTGCTGTTAATTCTATTTTTCTACCTCTTAGAAGAAACTTCAAGAAACTTCAAGATACTTCAAGATCTGAGAGCGAAAACATTATGCTGACAGTAATCAGGATCAATACAGTTGAAAATCTACCTGCTTGTCTGAATGGATTTGGACCACATTTCATGCGTGGAGTTCCTTGCTTTCCTGCTATCTCTACACAGTTTTCAAGTTTGATATGTTTCTAATCACTCAGTCATTGTTACTGTGTCTGAGGTTGACGTGGGCACTCTGGCTTGACTTTTCTATATTTATGTGATTCTTCTTCCTCTTTGACAGTGCCTGTGTAGACTGAAGTTATTTGTTCCCTGAGACTATGATTTTAAATAAAGGTTTAGATACATATCTAGGCAAGGCTGCTAACTCACCATTCCTCTGCTTGGGACCTCTGACAAATCTAGCTTTTTAGATTTTCCTTTTTACCCACCCCAATCTCACTTTTTTTTTTTAAACAGTGTTTCTCTCTCCCATTGCCCAGGCTGGAGTGCAGTGGTACACTCTAAGCTCACTACAATCTCCGCCTCCCAGACTTGAGCAATTCTTGTGTCTTAGCCTCCCAAGTAGCTGGTACTACAGGTGCACACCACCACAACCCGCTAATTTTAGTGTTTTTAGTAGAGACGGGGTTTCACCATGTTGCCCAGGCTGGTCTCAAACTCCTGACCTCAAGTGATCCACCCGCCTAGGCCTCCCAAAGTGCTGAGATTACAGACATGAGCCACTGTGGCCAGCTACCCACTCCAATCTCTAGGTAGCAAAACCAGTGATACTTTGAAGGTATTTTAGAGACAACTATTATCTGGCTGACCCATTTCTCTTCCTCATACAGCTGTATTATTGCCATAGAGCATTCAAGAATAGGCCCTCTGGAAAATCTACTGCAGAGATTTCAAATAGTATAAAATGGACAATGTGCTTCTAGCTATATCATCACATATTAACTCTTAAAGTAGAAGAGAATTTAAATAGAATAATAAATAACTGTTTTTCCCCATTGTTTTGCCGCAAAGGAGGGTTCCTTCACAGAAAAGACAACATGCCAATTAACTCTTATGAAATCTGTAAACTAACTTAAAACAAATCAGCCAGAATAGCACCATGTAAAAAAGCTGGGCTGATTTAAGCTATGCTCTAAGGCCAGTCATTTATCTCATTTCAGAAATGGTAAGCTAGTAAAATTAGTATGTCTTCAATGAGCCAAATAAATATTAGAAATTGGATCTCTCTCGGACTGGATTATTGGCAGTTGATAAAGTAAAATGGTTAAACTACTTTATCAACAAACACAACCTTAAGTGAATAACCATAAGAGTCTAGAAAAGCCAGTAAGGAGAAAACTAAAGTTTGATCCCTAAAAGGCCCTACATTTACCTATTGAATTAGGAAAATTTGGTTTACACATTGCCAATAATCAAGGTCACAGAATCGAGTTTCTGGAATATCAGACATATCTCTATAAATAATATACGAAAGTTGTGTTCAGATACACAAAACACAAAGATATGGCAATTCTTCTATTTATAGAATAAATTTTATAAAATATTCTGTGCCTTTAATTACATATTTACTTAATAAATGTCTGCATGTATATTGAAATCTGGTCGAATAACTGTTTTTTATAGCCTGATAGCAATGTTCTAGAGACATATTAAACTTCATCCATTTCAAACAATTTTGATTATCTACCAGTAAAATGCAGACTCAGAGTTGTTCATGTCAAAATTGGATTAGAATATTATACAAGTGCTTAATCAAAAAAGATGAAGCTGAGTGAAAATAATTTTTAAAAAGAGGTAAGCATCCCAGGCCAGAGGAGAAGCATGAACATAAAGGGAATTTATGATAAGGAAAATAATCAGAGTTCACATGAAAGAAATTGTTTCATCCAGTATTAGGCAGAATGAATGAGATCTTTCATTTAGCACAATTCAATGAGTTTTCAATTAATCTAATTTAAAATTAGACTAAGAAAATTTATTTTTTGTCACTAGCTAAGATTGGGAAAGCTAGATTCTTTCAGTAAAGGACAAGAGTCTTGAATAAAAGTTACAGATGTATATAATTAGAAATGTTAAGCTTAGCACACCATAATGACAGGAAAATGAAGTATTTGAAAGCATGGTGTATAATGCTCATTTATTTTCCCTAATCACAGGAGTCATTTGAAGGGTAAGTCATTTGTGCTTTAGGAAAGAAGATCAGAAAGTTGCCTTTCCCTTTATTATTATTTTTTGGGGGGCTATACTCTCAGAAACAAAGCAATCTAGAAATCTATTCTCTAACAGGAAAAACATTCATAAGAAAAAAGCAGTGAAAAATTATTTGTGGGGGCGTTTAAAATGATTTAAAGGATTCCTCAAAAGAAGTATCAATTGTGATGGGAGTAATTCTCCTTTGTGCTTCTTTGAATGAGCTGAACATTATCCCAACCACAGACAGTTTTCACGTGGTTACTCTAAGCTTCTCGAAATGACAAGGCAAAATTGAAGACGTCATTATTTTTTATCAGAGTAGTATCAATTTTTTCATCTGATGAGTCAATCTTAGTCTTTTATTGAAAAGAGAAAAAGTGAGCTTAGCTGAAATAATAGAAATACAATCAAAGGATAAATAAAATGAGGGGAAATTATTAAACAAACAGTATTGCCCTTATGCCTTCTATGATAAATATCTGACACATGAAAAAGTCATTAAAATATGCTGGGAAGGAAAAATAACTCATTGACAAGTATATACCTCTTATTATTTTATATTCTACAGGTTTAGTCATAATGTATATCATTATTATATAGTGATAGTCATTATTATATGACTTTATATATATATAGTCATTATTGTATGTCCCCTCCACGAGTCTTGCAGTAATAGTTTATGTCAAAATTCTTGCAACAGAATTGAAGCTTTAAGTGTTGAGAAAATTATAGAAAAATACTTTTATAAGGTAAACTTGGATTAAGCTGGATAGATTATGATTCTAATTTGACAGTAGAAAAAAATAATGTGGAGTTAAAAAATAGACTATTTTGCCTAGAGTAGATGCAATAAGGGATCAAGACTGAAATAACCAATTGTGTGTAGACTGAAAATTCGTATGTATTCAGAAGTATAAATAAGGTAATTAAAAGTGTTTATTGTCCAGGATAGGTGATTTTATAAAGTAAATTAGTGCTTTCCTTGGGTTAAGGGAGAATTGGCCAATGGCAGCTAATGAATACTGGGTTCCTTTTGAGGATGATAAAAGATGTTCTAAAATTGATATGATGGTTGCACAATGCTGTGCATATAATAAAAACCCTTCAATTATATACTTTAAATGTGTAAAATATATTTTATGTGAAATATGTCTCTATAACATTCCAAAATTTAAAACTAAAGTAAAAATGTATATTGATGATTTGTAATATTTAATTTGTGCAAGATCTTCTAGAAAAGAAAAATAAAAAACTGGATGGTTAGGCAAAACATGTACTGAAAAACCTTACAAAAACAAAGATAATCCAGAATGAGGAAAAACGGAAACTTTATTTAATAGAATAATGACTATAGGGTATGGTGGAAATGCTCCCAATATTAAAGAAATTTGACATACGTATTGCAAGATTCATATTATCAACATTATTCCTTCTATTAGAAATATATGACTTGTACTGAGCCTTATCGTTGTTCTTATATGTTAAAAATGGATTTTAGCTGTGTGATCGCGAAAGTAAAATTCATATAATCTTTTAGAGCCTCAGTTTTCTCACCTGAATGTTGTGAAACATTTATGAGTAACAACAGACAGTGTGCTTTAATCATTGTTTTCAATCGATGAAAAAAGAATTTTAGCCTTTGCTTGAATTCTAATTAGGCCAAGGTACACATTATTTTAGTTAAATTTTCCATTTACATTGTTAGTATGTAACATGCTCTCATGGTGAAACTTTTTCCTGGAATAGGTAATAGCAAAGCAGATTGGAAGCTCAAGTTCTATCCATTGCGATACCTGTGTCTTCATCTTTTGCATTGGTTTTGTAGTCACTATACACACAATCAACTGCATTGTATTTCCGTGCCTAATGCAGAAATTGCATCACATATTTTGTAGGCATTAAGAAATTCTTTACCTATTGTTGAATATGGTTAACATAATAGCGCCTGTATCGTATTTACTAAATGCCAGGTTCTGGACTAAATTTATATTTCAAGTATGAGGAACGTGTTATTATTTTACCCACTTTTTCATATGAGAAAACTTAAGCAACAAGAAGTTATGGGAATTTCTACAATCCCCTAATTTGGAATTAAGAGACAAGGAATCATTTCCCAACTTTCTGGCTCCAGACTCCACCTTTTAAATAATAACTACGTTGTGAGCTCTGAGGAGTAAAAAATACTCTGAAATATGAAGAGAAAAAAATCTGCTCAGGACTGAAACATGAAGAATCATCTCTGCAATTAAGCTGGCAAAGACAACAAACACTGATAAAGTCAGCTACAAAGTTAACCAGAAATAGTGCTTTTCTCATTGCAGCTGTACAGTGTCAAAATGACTCGCCTTCTTTGAACCTACTTCTTTCTTATCAATAACTTGCTTAGCCCTACTTCCTTACTCTCAGCTCTTAAATCAAGGTCAATATGATACCCAATTGTTAGCCTCCATCACTTTATGACAGCAACCAGTCCTGAGCTCAAATCTACTTCTCTTATTTCCACATTAAATAATGCAATCAATCAGATCTAATCCTTCCTATCCTTACCTCTTAGAATCATTCATGGTGACACAAAACTTCCTACCTCCTCACCCTTCATGTAGAAATCCCATGGGCCTGTGTCATGCAATTCACCTTGACATAGCAAGTCAATAAACCTATTTTGCTAGCCTACAGTTTTGTCTCTGGTAGGTGGTCTGTATCAGATGAGCTTTAACAACTCAGAGTTAGATAACTTGATAACTAATGCACAGCTACCTCATAAATATATTTCTAGCACCTACATTCCTCTATTGATATAGGTAAACAAGTTAAACTCTTTGAGGTGTAGTTCCTTAACATAAAAGGATAATAATAGTTCATTTCTCATAAGATTTCTTGAGCATTAAGTAAAACAATGCATCTAAACTGAATGGCAGAGCTTAAATTATAATAAATATTCAGTAAATATTATTATTTATATGAAAATAATTTACTTTTCATTTATATTGCTTCAAGATTGGTTTGAGATAGAGCCATTATGCAGATGTTGGAATAGATAGATTTCTATATTTTTGTAGAAAGACTGGCAAATCAATAATATTATAAAAGAGCAAAGAAAATGAAGACAATTGTTAGCAGAGTAAGACAAATTCAGGAAACAAATTACAAACAAAAATGCACTTTATGGTTCAATTGGTTACACAAAGGCTAGTCAACTGATCTTTCAACTTATATTTGCCCTTCTTGTATTTTGTGCAATTTGTGCAGTTAGAGTAATTAAAAATTCCAACATTTAGAAATAAAAGGTGAATCCTTTGAAACATTTTATTATATGTACTCATTCATTTATAAACTCATAAAATCTTTATTGGCTTTAAATGTAAGCTGACACTAGACTGTAAAAGCTACATTGACAAATATACACATTTTTAAGGAAAGCTGTTATGAAACTAAGACTTTTGACCTATAATTTTCTTCCTATAAAATAAATACTGTTGTGTCTCATCACAGGTTAAAAGGAAGCTGGTATACAGGTGGGGCTTTTTTCCCCAAACATGCAACTAGAATATATATAATTTTGATATCACTTATTGAGGGTCAAACATAATTCATTAAAAATGGCTCTGTGGAATTAAAAAAAATGTTTAAAATCATTAAATTAACATATAAAATATGCAGTATCCATAAAAATTGCAAATAAAAGTATAAATTTTGTAGTGTTTTCTAAAAATATATCATTTAGAGTTCCGCTCATGAGAATTCAATTACAAATCTGCTTTAGAATATTTTCAATAGCTACCTGAGTGCTCCTGATTATCTAGAAATACATGATCTATATTGAGTAATAAACACGAAAAACATAAATATTTTCCAGAATTCCATAATGCACACCTGTCTGTCTCATTGTCAAAGTACAATATCACATTATTTTTGGCATTAAAAGTGAAATGTTAACACTGGAAAAATCATATTTTGGGAAGAGTATGGACTATATTGAGTGAAAGTTTAATGCTGGCTTTGCTCTGTTTCTTAGGCAAATTTTCTAATCAATTTCTCTCTCTTTGTTACTGTCTCACTGTCTCTCTAGCTTTCTCTTTCTCCTCCCTTCTTGCATACTTGCATTCCCTCTCTCTTCTCTCCCTCTCTCTCTTTATCCTTCTCTCCTTTAAATGTATATTGGGTACAGAGTATTTAGTTAATCTCATTACTCTGTTAATGGCACATTTCACCACTGGTTCTTACAAGACCCTTCTTGTGTTTTTTTGTCACTTTTCATCACTCTTACTAAAAGCTCTCCCTATAGGCAACCTTATCCTGTACTGAATGGATATCATTTTATTCTTGCCTGTTATTGGAAAATAGATTATTTTATGTATATTTAGATTTTGTATTTATGTTGCCTTTGTTTTACTTTTAACTTGGAACCACTCTTTAAAGACCCAATTATTTTGGTATGCACATATCTAGTTCATTGCTTCTAACTCACACATATTTCTCTATGATGTGCATCCACTACAATTTAATTTTAATTTTCCTATATTAAAAAGAGAAATTTTAACCTTACCTGTGATGTTTTAAAATAATATATAAACCCTTATCATACTTAATAATCTATTAAAGATAATAAGCAAATGGTAACCAGTATGAGTTCAAGACATTGTAGTAAACAATGAATATAATCAAATTTCAATTCTACCTTTATTTCCTATATTACCATGAAATAATTTGACTTATTAGAGCTTCAATATTTTCTTGTATGGAATAAGTGTAAAATCTACTTTTAATGGTATTGGAGGATTAGGGACAAAAAGTATAACTGCTGATGATCGAACATGGAAGGTTACGACTATGCTTAATTTTTTTTTTTTGACAGAGTTTCACTCTTGTTCCCCAAGCTGGAGTGCAGTGGTGTGATCTCTGCTAACCGCAACCTCCACCTCCCAGGATCAAGCTATTCTCCTGCCTCGGCCTCCCGAGTAGCTGGGATTACAGGCGTGGGCCTCCATGTATTTTTAGTGGAAACAGTGTTTAACTATGTTAACCAGGCTGGTCTCAAACTCCTGTTTTCACATGATCCACCCGCCTTGACCTCCCAAAGTGCTGGGATTACAGGTGTGAGGCACCGTGCCTGGCCATGCTTAATGTTAATTATAAGAATGTGAGTTTTAAGTATTAGTTATGTATAATTTTAGCATCACAATGGCTGCCATGACGCAAAGAACAATGCCTGAAGTGAATAAATTTGGTGAATCAACTAATGAAAATACAAAACAGATTTGGAGTATTAAGTTGTTACAATAAATTAGGGTATGAAAAGTCAATTTCTATAACAGATTACATTTATTATTTCAACACACGTGTCAGGAACTTTCTCAACCACTTTACATGCAATATCTCAATCCCATACCACCTCCACCCAACGAGGCAGATGCTACTATTACCTCCTTTTACAACTGAGAAAACGAAAACCTAAAACCTAGAAGACTAAGTGATTTTTCCTCAAATAATAGTTCTATGAAGATTCAAAATAAGGTCACTGGAATGGAGAACCCATACTGTACTCCATATGGCCTGCTTTCTATCTTTAGAAAAATCAATTTTATGGGCATGATACAATGCAATTGAAGGAAAATTAATTTCTTCATTTAATATGTGATTATATAAACTTAAAATGCTTGTATATTCTTACAGAATGGGCCAAAGATTTAAATCTCAAAACCACATTTAGCACTGATGCAACTCCAGTATAAGTATGAGAGGAGAAAGAGAAAGAGAGAAGCAGTCTGTTGGTGAAAGGCCATGCATGGGTGTCCAAGGTAAGAAGTTGGGGCTGCATTGTGTTAGTGGGAAGTCACTAAAGGCTTTTTTAAAAGGAGAGTAATGATAAAATTTGGCCTGTTAGAAAAACAATTTTGAGGTTTGTATATTCGATGGATTGAAAAAATAAATGACTGAATTTTAGGTGGTTAAAAAATTATTTCAGAAATTCAGAGTGAAGTCAGTCATTGGTACCAAGAAATCATATGGAAATATTTTAGAGGTATATTTTATAAAAAATATTATGCACTTTTTCAAGTGAGGATGTTAAATGTAACATCACAGTTTGGCAACTAAGTAAATAGTACTGCAATCTAATGAACTAGTCAATAAAAGTGAAAAGAAGCTTGGAGGAAAAATTGAATAAGTACTATTAGGTGGTATCCACTGAGAAAAGCGATCATTTGGAAAATTGACTAAAAGTCCCCGAAGTCAGCTCAATGCAAAATTCTATACATTTAGTTTTGGTTTTCGATAGGTTGATGGAAAATATAGATTTGGTTATGACTACTCTAAGTGAATACATAAGGAAAGGGATTAAAACATTGGTCTAAAATCTGCAGGGGTAGTTATGGGATCATGCATAAGCTTTACATACATTGTTTCTCCTAATGGATTTCTTCCAGTTATTTGAAAATTCTTATCGTTTAGTTTTTAAGTGATTGTTTCTCTCCAAACAAATTAAAATGTCATGAGATGTTATGATTACTCTGTAATGGTAACAACATTACTATTACCATCTAATGATGCCAGCGTACTTTTTCACTATATTATATAAAAATATAGGCTGTCATTTTCATTGTGGCCTTCTCTGTATTTCTACATTAGACTTAGTTAAAAGACAGAAAGAAGGAAGAAGGAAGGAAGGAAGGAAGGAAGGAAGGAAGGAAGGAAGGAAGGAAGGAAGGAAGGAAGGCAGGCAGGCAGGCAGGCAGGCAGGCAGGCAGGCAGGCAGAATGGGTGGGGAGGAGGGAGGGAGGGAAGGGGTCAGCAGAATTTGCTCATCTTTTGGATTTACTCACCATGCAAAATATAATGCTATAAAATAAGCTGCAGTAATATTATATATTTGGTCAGGGATTTAGTAAAGTAAGCATGGAGCCATTGAAACTAAAGCAGCCCTTCATAACTGCTTATCCTGAAAACACATGTAAAAAATAATCTCAATTTGAAAAAGGCTGGGCAACAATTACATCTTGGATTTGCCCCAATCCCTGCCTTAAAAAAATCTCATAATTTGTTCATCATATAGTCAAACCAAGGAATCAACACACGATTTGGCACAATTTGGTGAAGCTATTTCTTCTGAAAGTGGCTAAATCAAATTATTACTTGGCACAAAGAAATACAGTAGATATGATACCATTTGACAAATGGCACCACACTGCCTAATACCCCCATATGATACTTATTCTGGTATCAAAACTAGTCATGAAGAAATAGATTCTCAATTTATTTCCTTCCAACCTGCACTCGGATAAGCATGCTCTCACATCCTTCTGCATGGCCAGTTCCCAGGCTTACAGAATTATATGTGTTCTCACACCACTTTTAAATATGTATGTAGGTATGTATTTATTTATTATTGACAAATAGAAACTATATATATTTATGGTGTACAACATGATGTTTTGATATATGTATACATTGTGAGATGACTAAATCAATCTAATTAACATACACATTACCTCATATGCTTATCTTTTTGTGGGAACATTTAAGATCTACTTGAGTATATAATACATTATTATTAACTATAGCTACTCAGTTGTACAACAGATCTGCTGAACTTGATCACTCCACTTTATTAATCAAAAGGTGTCAAAAGTTTGAATCAGTCAAAAAAATTTTGTAAGTACATCTTTAAATGAAACAAAATTGAAGTATTTTGAGCTTAGGTAAGCATCTGTAATATTTGATAACATATCTTGATTATTTGCCTGTGGGGAAAAAACAAAACCACACACCATTAAGAATTATAGCTTGTAACATTTGTATACATTGTCAGAAAATCTCAGTTAACATTACAGGCATATGACTTGCTTATTTCTCTGAATGTCATCAGCTTCATTAAAGCCAAGAATTTGAATTATTCAGTATCAGGGGTCTTGTTTTCTATAAAATGGGAGCAAAATATGCTGTATTCATCTGTGTATAGATATTTCCTAGATTTCCAGAGTAAAAGTCTCAAGGAATTTGATTGAATTTCAACGGGTTGGTGTATCTTTTATTTGAGAAGAAGAGAAAAATATTCCTAGAACAATTTGACTAGAAGGGGTTCTTATTTGACAAAGTTTAATTAGAAGACTGTTTACTAGGAGCAATGGATTTTAAATTGTGGTGCACTGCAGAATTATCTAGAGGGCTTGTTAAAACAGACTAGTGGGTTCCACCTCCAGAGTTTCTGTTTCCGTAGATTTGTGGTAAGACTTAAGAATTAGCACTCTGATGTCCACTGACTTAGGCAATATTTTGATTACAAGAATGATTTATTCTTGTAATGCATTCAGGATTGCAGATGGCGCTGATAGACTATGAGCTCTTTTGGCCAAAATGCTACTCTGGAAGAGGAGATTAGATAAACTACATGATCCTTTCAGTGTGATAAAAAATACTTATATACACCAGATTTGAAGACGATACAGCATTATTTGTTTCTTTGTTAGACAAAGAAGACACCTGAAAATGCTGTCCAGTTTTCTAAAGGTTTCATTAAATCAAACTGTGGACTTATCATAGAATAGAGGCCGAAATTTCAGAGATGTTGATAAAAATAGGAAGCTTTATTCATTAAACTAAAGATATGATATGCATACTGATATTCAACTTTTTTCAGGATCAATAAATACAATCTCACTAAAATAATTCTAAGCAAATTAAATTAGAATTATTATTTGTCAAATTTGACCCTCAAGGATTTTCCTGTCATCAAATGGTTAATTTTTCATTTAAACATAAGATGAAGAGATGAATAAATCTCTTTTTAGTTAAATCTTTGTATATATATTTTAATAATTTATTTTTAGCTAATATAGACTTAAACCATACATTGTAATATGCATTTTATTATTCCAATACTAATTCCAAGCTGCTTAATTCTCTGGTTGGCAGTCAGTTCAGAATCTACTTTTGAATCTTTTCCTTTTCCTTTTGCCTCATATAATTTTCAAAAGATGCTCAGGAATTTATGGTGTCCAGCTCCTATGTGCCAGACAGATACAGTCTGGTTATTCCCTTTCCGCCCTCGTTCTTCAGGAGGCATGAAGTCACTACTTAAGACTGTTCATACATAGCTGGAAGCTTAACACTATTGAGATGACTCACTGGTGTCTAATTTGCAGCATGGACTGTAGTGTTTCATCACAGAGAGGGAGTCTACTTCTCAATGTGAAGCTTGGCCCATGTTTATCATCCTAAGGTTGTTGCCTTGGGCCCTCACTGATCTTGTTGCACATGCTCTCAAGATAGGAGAAGGCTGCAAAAGTGCTCGGCATGAATGGTTCTAGCAATTTTCCTCTCAGGATCCTGAAATCCTTTCTGCTCTTCCAAAGAATAAAGTGAATTTACTAGTGTCTAAAAACAGAAATTATCTTACCTTTTTTTCCTCTTGTGAAATAAACAACTTATGTCTGCCCACTCAGTGTAGGCAGAATGACTATCCTCAGCGGTTTCTATACAACCATTCTGACTTTTTATAGGAGGTTACCTTTGCTGATCCAAAGGTGATTTTTGTCCTGGTTCATTATTATTTGGCACTTTATGCATAAAAAATAAATAAGAAAAAACAAATTATGTATCTGGTAGACATATGTAATAAAATAAATTTAAAGTCAATTTGTAATCGCATGTGTTCATATGCTTTTTTTAAAGGAAAAGGGTTCATATACAATTTTTCTCATGTTTTCAATGAGATCCATGAACCCAAACAAGTTTACATCCAATGGCTGGGATGTATGAAACGTTAGGGGTCAGGACATGTACTAGTAATTTTTGAAAAGAGGAGTCAGCACAGAAGATAGCTAGGATGTATCAGAGGTGCAGGTAAAGAACAGGAGAAACTGATATCATGGAAGCCAGGAAAGAAGAGAGTTTAAGGCCAAAAAATCCAGTTAGATGAAGAACACTGCAGTAGCTGCTACTGGGCGCATTTCCAGAGTGTTGCTATTAAGGTTGTCACCTCAGTGTGAGTTACCTCAGGAAATGTTGTCAATGAATACAGCCTCCAGGGAGAACCTCCAGACTGCAGCAGTGGAGGAGGATGACAACTTAAAGGAAGCAGTGGGAGGTGCAGAAATTCTCCCTGGCTCCCCATGGCAAATAAATAATTGAGAACCAGCGTAACCATTCAGGGACGTTTATCTGGCCTGATTCTGCCTTGTCACTTCTGTACATCCTCATTTATCATGTGCTGCTACTGCACCACACCAGTGCTTCTCAAATTATTTGTGGTTAAAAGGAGGGGAGGAGGTTCTCCCCAAATCCGTCATGGGCTAATACTTTTGTAAAAAGCCATTAAAATAAATTATCAGAAAAATGAAATTAAAAAATACATATAAACTGCAAACATCATTTTTTAAATTATTAGACCTAATAGACATAATAGTGCTTAAAGGGCTATAAGGATTTGAAAATGTTGACTCTCATTTTCTCCTTTTATCTCATTGAAGAATGCTATCATCTGATAGAAAGACACTGGCCTACAGATCACTCTCGAAGTCACACTAACTAGCACTTCTATTTTTTTAAAGATGTTTTAGTTTAAATGCCTTATGCACAGCTTTTTTGCTGATTCTTCTAAAAACACACTGTTCTTTTGCCCCCATTCCCATTTTTCAGCCTTATTACTCACCTCCTTATCTGAAACTATTGTCAATCTAGGATGGATCTCTGCACAGCTTACCTGCTTATTATGAGTAGACTCCTCTCCCCTAAATCATATCTGCTTACCCAAATCCACCTATCTTTTACATGCCAGGATAATGTTCTTCATTCCTAAAGTTTCTCTATGTTCCACCACTCAGAGTCACAGCAATATCTTTCATTGGATCTGTATTTTTCTTTACCATCTAAACCAATTTACTTTAAAAAAGCCATTCAGGCATTTTCCTATTTCTTCAGTTTAATGAAAAGGTATGGAGAATATTACACCTAGGAGCTACAGAATAACTGTCTGTTGAAGTAGATTAAACCAAACAGGAAGAATTGTAAAAATTTAGTTGGTGCCTGAGGAGGACCCTGTCTGATTAAACATGGTCCCTAAAGTCAGCATAGGAAGTAGTGTCTGCTGAGTTAAGCTCAGGGGATCTTTTCAATTTGTTGCATTTCAAGTAGATTCTTGATGTTTCAAACGAGTATTATCCAAGGGCAGAATGGCAAATTCCCATTAAGGATCATGTTGGGGTTGAAATTCTAGAAATTGGGATTTTGGGATGCGAGACTACCTGAGAGTAATTGAATATCTTAGCCATCAGAATTCTGGTTGAAAATGTTACTCAGGAAAAAAAAAATATACCTCATCAATCTAGGGAGATGGAGTAAATAGCAATTTTATGAAGAAAACAATTACAATGAAAACCCCACTGCTGATTAGGCAACTTGATTATTTAATTTCCATTATGTATACATGCCTACGATCAATATTATAACTATAATGATATGATTGAAAATAGTATCACAATTATTACTTTAATAACTGCTCTTTTTATTGATTTTACTGTTTAGTCACCTGTGGTCCAAAAGCTTTTCTATTTCCATAAAATGTAAGGAGTACTTTCACTTACTTATATTTATTGAATATTTACAAAATATTTATAAAGAGTAGTAATACAAAAGGTCAGAGCTTCCATGGTGAGAATGTATCCCATCTTGGCTCCATTTTCTGCACTGCACTTAACAAGAGTTCAGATTTCCACATTTTATGATTAGTGCATACTGGTAGACTAACGGCTGTGAGAGTTGCTCTTCATTTTCTATCATAACCTTAGTTCCCCATGAAGATATATAATTAAACTGGGTAGCACAAGCTGATTATCTGTCAAATATAAATGAGTCACTCTGCTACCTCCAAATACTAGTTCACTGTGTCTACAATGAATTAAGACACTTCAGTCCTGGATGCAAAAGTGATAATAAAATCTTCTTTCAGTCAGCAGATATTTATTGAATGCCTGCTGTGTGCCAAGCAATCTAATATTTAGAGAGCAGTTTTCAGATACATTTTACATAATTTTTTCAACTGATCCTCAGAACAGTTCTCTAATCTATGGATGCAGAAATACTGCTCTCAATTTACAGATGAGGAAACAGTTTGTGGGGAAAAGTGATTAAATGAGGATCACATGGTTTGAAATTATGTAGCTATGAATAAAAATCAAAACTTCTGACTCATCACCATTCAATTTTTTCACTACAACATGCTTTGTACTCAAGAATAAGATGTTTGATCCATTTTAATAGAAGTCTGATATCTTTTGTGTGAATTTCTTTATCATCAAATTCTTTGTAATTATGGAAAATCTATTTTCCACTCCTAGAGTTTTAGCCCTGTGGGAGCCCAGTGAGAGTCATGTACCAAAGATCTTTAAAATGAAATAAATAGAAGCTGCAAACATTTCTCCAAAGAATAGCCCACTTGAACCTATGATAAAAGGATGTTTAATGATACCAGTTATGTTTTCACTGAATTAGTAATGTTCCTCAGTATTAGCTCAAAAAACAATGTCTAGAAAGATAATTCTTGCATGTATACTAAATGTGCACACATTACCTTGTAATTAACCCTTTCAATGGTCTTCATATAAGTTTTCGTATTGTGTAGCTAAGAATATTCAAAGTCCAAGGAAAGGTCCCAATATTAACAAGTGATCTGTTGCAAAGCCCTTATGTCTGCCACTATACCACAGTCCTCTAATAAATGTACTGAAGACAGATATATTTCACTAAAATGTAAGCTACAAGAGGGCAGTGTTTTTTTCTGTTTTGTTCATTGTTGTATCTTTAACTCTAAAATAATATCTGACATCCAGTATGCACTTAATAAATATTTGTGTAATGAGTGAAATGCTTTGAAAATGTCTATTTTCATCTTGATTCTTACTTGATTGTATTTATGTCTGATATTAGAGACAGTTGTCTCAGAATAATAAAATTTTATAATTTACTGTGTTGCTAAGTAAAGCAAAAGTAGGTAGTTGATCCTTTTGATGCACAGTTAGTTCATTGTACCCCATGAAAGTGTGGGATACCATGAACACAGTCAAGCTTGCTGATCCAACAGTCATCTTCAAATAGAACAATGAATATCCATCAGTAGCACTGACATAATTGATAGCACCCATATGCCACTGATCATGGATCAGGACTTTGCAGATAAACAGGATAAAAAGCAGCATATACAAATGTTTCTAGCCTAGTGTTGGTCATAGAGTATGCTCAATAAACATTAACTGATCTACATTTGATATGGATCTCAATAAATAGAAAAATGTGTGTATATAAGGTAATCTTATTTGATTCCTATGAAAGTAAGACTAAATGTCCTTATGACTGCACATATGTATTTAATAATATTTAAGAGAACTCTTGAATGTAGTAGTTATGCTAGTAGCATTTGTAGACAGAGAAACCTTGGTTCAAATCCTGATTTTGTCAATTACCAGCAAACTAAATTTTGGCAAGTTACTCAATATTTCTAAGCAACTTTATTTTTTTTTCAAAGTGAGGATGATAGTAGTAACAACTCCACAAGGTGTTAGTGAGTAGTACTTGAGATATCTGCATTGAAGGCCACAGGGAGTGTTGGGCCATTGAATAGAGGGCAAGTTCAGATCTGCAATGCCAGCTAGGGTGATTCAATTTCTGTAAGTCATATACTAGCACAGGCCTCTTTGCTTCTGTAAATCCATATATGACATTGCCCTGAATCCATGTTCCATGGTGCATAGGAATCTAAATTCCTCTCCCAGGTTTCTGAAGAATCACGATTTCATGGTGACCTCTGCATCTAGTGAATTGCTTCCAGGCCTTTTATTTTTAGATCATGTTTTTACTGACTGAGATGAGAAAATGAGGAACTTCCTAAAATTCTACCCATTCCCCAAAATACACATCCATACAAGTAGTAATAAAATTTTACTGAAGATTTTGGATTCCAGGAAAAGATACCACATTAAAATAGCTAAATAAATTGAAATTTTAGATTAGATAATCTTTTAATTAATCTATTTATTTTTAGCTATCTAAACATTTGTACAATTTACAATTGCAAAGATATGGAAACAACCAAAGTGCCCATCAATCAATGAGTGGATAAAGAAAATGTGGTATATATACACTATGGAATACTATTCAGCCATAAATATGAACAAAATAATGTCTTTTGCAGCAACTTGGCTGGTGCTGGAGGCAATTTTTCTAAGTGAAGTAACTCAGGAATAAAAAACAAAATACTGTATGTTCTCACTTATAGGTGGGAGTTAAGCTATGATTACACAAAGGAGTACAGAGTGATTTAATGGACTTTGGAGACTCAGAAGGGGAAGGTAAAAGAGGAGTGGTAGTGTAAAAAACTACATATTGCATAAAACATACACTACTCAGGTGACAAGTGCATTAAAATCTCAGAATTCACCACTGTATAATTCATCCATGTAACCAAAAACCACTTGTACCCCAAAAGCCATTGAAATAATTTTTTTAAAGTTTGTGTTTTCCTGTCATTTTGCTCCAAACAATTACTAAGAATTCTAAGATTTTATTTGCCCAACATTTGCTCCCTTATATACTCTCCTCTCCCTACTCATCTCCAGAAAAATTCTCATTATCTAAGCAAAACATATTTGCAATTTGTTTATTTATTTTGTCAGAGAATTATGTAGTACTTGTAATTTTAGAATCTTATATTTTTGTAACATGAAACTTAAAACTACCCACCCCCAATGAAAGGCAGTTATTTTTTCAAAGAATAATATTGTATAAATTCTACAATAGTGTATTTTTCACTTCATTATGCTTATGCCTTTGTCAAGAGGACCATGTGTCTCTCATGTGTGTGTTTGCTACTATTGAACTCTGTGTACTCCAGCCACCACTAATAATTCACCATATGAATTACTGACTCTTTCTCTTACTAGAACATTCTTCCAGATCAAAGCTTATTTATACCAGTCATGATTATTCTCCCTCCCCAAATAACAGGATTAAACTCAAATTGTGTGTGTGTGTGTGCACGTGTGTGTGTGTGTGTGTCATATGCTCCTATATCATGTCATAATACTGTTCATATTTTCAGTGATCCAGACTTTAGAAACATGTTCTCTACCTCCTATAAGTGTCCCCTTTCTTTTAAGCATGCTTAATCTCCCTACCAACTGCCATGGTCTTCTTCTATGGCATCATATTCCAACTCTCTTAAATCCTTTTATTCTGTGAAGATTTTAACACTTTCCCAACATTCTACTTCATAACGTTCAATTTCCTTGGAACAGCTTCCATGTGAACCTCCCATTTAGCAGTCTAACATATTCCCTTGGATGGTCAAAGGATTATTTCATCAAGCTAAACAGAAGTGGCTAAAAAATCACTAATAAAGGCATTCTTTATTTTTACCATGTCTGACTACCCTACCTATATGATAGTTCATTTTCTCTAATGTAGTCCATAATCTCTAATTGTACAAATCTCTTAGATGCAGTTTCCATTTTCTAGTTTGGTTTTTAAGATTTTATTTATAGCTACTCTTTCATAAATACAAGTAGACCTTGTTTTATTGTTCTTCCACTCATTGCACTTGGAAAAAATTACGTGTTCTACAGATACAGAGTCTAAGGGAATCCCAAATTGAACAAGTCAATCAGCTCCATTTTTCCAGCAGCATGTGTTCACGTTGTTTCTCTGAGTCACATTTTGGCATTTCTTTCAATATTTCAAACTTCTTTATTATTACTATATGTTATGGTTATCTATGATCAGTGATCCTTAGTGTTACTATTGTAATTGTTTGGGGCACTACAACCACACCCATATAAGAAAGCAAACATAATTGAGAAATGTTGTGTGTGTTCTGACTGCTTCACTGATCAGCCATTTTCCTGTCTCTGTTCCTCTCCTAGGGCCTCCCTATTCCATGAGACACATGGATACTGAAATTAGGTCAATTAACAATCCTAGAATAGCCTGTATTTATGTAAAAGGAAGTGTCATTTGTCTCTTTAAATTGAAAACTGGAAATGACTGAGCTTAGAGAGGAGGGATTGTTGAAAGCCAAGACAGGCCAAAAGCTAGGCCTCTTGCATTAAACAAGTTGCCAAGTTATGAATGAGAAGGAAAAGATCGTGAAGGAAATTACAAGTGTTATATCAGTAAATCTGAAAATAATAACACAGTAAAAAAGCCTTATTGTTGCTATGGATAAACTTTTAGTGCTCTGTATAAAAGATCAAACCAGCCACAACATTCCCTTAAGCCAAAGCCTAAAACAGAGCATGATCCTAACTCTCTTTAATTCTATGGAGGCTGAGAGAGGTGAGGGGGCTGCAGAAGAAAAGATGAAAATTAGCAAAGGTCAATTCATGAGGTTTAAAAGGAAAGATGCTGTCATCACAACATGAAAGTACAAGATGAAGCCCAAAGTGCTGATGGTAGAATCTGAAATGAAGCTAGAAGATCTAGCTAAGACCATTGATGAAGGTGGCTGCATTAAACAACAGATTTTAAATGTAGACAAAATAGCCTTCTATTGGAGTGAGATGCCATCAAGGACTTTCATAGCTGAAGAGGAGAAGTCAATGCGTGGCTTCAAAGTTGAAGTTGATTCTGTTGTTAAGGGCTAAGGCAACTGGAGACTTTAAGTAGAAGCCAATTCTTATTCCAAAAACCCTTGGGCTAAATTTACTCTTCCTATGTTTTAAGCCCACTGTTGAGAACTACTGTTCAGAAAAGATGTATTTCAAAATATTACTGCTCATTGATAATGCACCTGGTTACCCAAGACGTCTGATTAAGATGTACATGGAAAGTAATGTTGTTTTCGTGCCCGCTTAAATAACATCAATTTTCCAGCTCACGGATCAAGTGTAATTTTTTACTTTCAAGTCTTATTATTTGAAAAATTCATTTACAAATGTTATAGCTATCACAGATAGTAATTCCTCTGATTAATCTGGGTGAAGTACATTGCAAAGTTCTGGAAAGGATTCACCATTCGGGATGCCATTAAGAATATTTGGGATTCATAGAAGGAGGTCAAAATATCAACATTTATAGGAGCTTGAAAGAAGTCAATTCCAACCCTCATGGAGGCCTTTGAGAGGTTTAAGACATCAGTGGATGAAGTAACTGCAGACATGGAGGAAATAATAAGAAAATTAGTATTATAAGTGGAGCATGAAGATGTGACTGAATTGCTGCAATCTCATAGCAAAACTTTAACAAAGTAGGATTTTCTTCTTATGGATAAACAAAAAACTTGCTTGCCTGATATAAAATCTACTCCTAAGAAGATGCTGTGAACATTGTTGAAATAACAATAAAGGATTTAGAATATTACCTAAACCTAGTTGATAAGGAAGGACTAGAGTTTAAGATGATTGACTCCAATTTTGAAAAAATGTTCTACTGTGCGTAACATGCTTTGAAACAGCATCAGATGCTATAGAGAAATCTTTCCTGAAAAGAAGTGTCAATCTATGCAGCAAACTTCCTTGTTCTGTGTCTCAATCTGCCTTTCTCCCTTCTGGTTCTGTTGCATCACAGTAGTTGGCTACCTTCCATTTCAGGGACAATCATTCCAACGTACAATATCTCACATCGTTATACCCCTTTGCAAATAGACATTTCACATTAACTTCAATCATGCCAGTGACCCCTATTTTTGTACTGACTGTACATCTCTCTCCAATTATCCCCTCATTTCACTTATCCATACGGTAATGAAGTATTATGAGATAATTGTCTGTATTGGGGTCTCTGCTTCTTCATACCTCAGCTACCCTTCAACCCACTTCACTCTGGCGTCTGACTATAACACTCTATGCAACTTACTCTTTCTGAGCTTCCATTGATTTCTGTCATTAAGTCCAATAGCAACTTCTCATTTCACTTGTTATTTTACACTTTATCAATTTTCATTACATTTGAAAATGAAATCCCTTTTTAAACACGCTCTTTCCTGGACTTGTTTCACATTATACCTCTTATTTTCCTTTTAGCTTTCAGGCCCATTTTCAGGTCATTTTTCATGGCTATAGTTTAAATATTGCAGGTCTTGGGATTAGCCTCTAGTTTCTGCTCAATGTTCTCCTTAAAGAAAACTCACACCGAATATATCCAAAAGCAAATTCCCATATTTTCTTTCCTCAAATCTGTACTTCCTTCATATTCTCCCATCTCAGTAATTCACTAAGTTGCTCAAACGAGAAATATGAGAATAATGAGGTTGCCTCTCTCTCTCCATAAGCCACCAAATGGAATCTGTTACAAAGTTGTTGGATTCTAAATTGGTCTTTTCATTCTTTTCATCTTAATAGCAACTAGCATCATTTTTTCAACAACACTTGAAAGCATAAAATCCTTCTGCTTTCCTAGAGTCTTTTATGTATTATTATAATTTTTTTCTCCACACAGCACTTAGAATGCTCTCCTTAAGTCATTAATCCAATCTTGTCCTTACCTTGCTTAAAGCCTTTTGCTATTAGATTAAAGGATGCACCTATGCACTTAATCCACAAGGCCTTTCACTGCCTGGATCCGTCTTCTTCCAGTTTATGTTGGGTCTTGATGCCCTCCTATACTTTTGCTTTAACTGAAATTGTCTTTATTCAGTGCCTCAACCAGCCCTTTCAAACCCCAAGAATTTGGGGACATTTTTCTTTCTCTGTCAGAATGTTTTGTTCCAGCTATCCCAACTCTCACCTAAACAACTGATTCCAATTTTCTGTTCTCAGTTCAAATCTCACTGTTCCAGGAAAAACTACGACATATGTTACTTTTTCTTTAATTAATTGATTCAAAAACCTTCTCAGAATCAGCATTATATTCTTGCATTTAGTCATTTTTTTATAAAAGTATGTATATCATGTGATTCAGAGATGCTAATGAGTGCAGCTATCTGGCATGAGCTTCTGCCATTGTATCATTGTTGAAAACTATCTTTGAACAGTAAAATTAAAAACACTAAAAAAATTCTAGGCTGGGTGTACTGGCTCACGCCTGTAATTCCAGAGCTTTGGGAGTCTTAGGCAGGAGGATGGCTTCAGCCCAGGAATTAGGTACTGCAGTGAGTTATAATCATGCCACTGCACTCCATCCTGGGCAACAGAGCAAGATGCTGTCTCTTAAAAAAATAAATAAATAAAAATCAGAAAACAAAAATACTAAAAATATACATACATTTGTATCTCCGTTTCTCAATTTTACTTCTCTCTCTGTTCCGTTCAATGCCATTCTATGTTTCTCCTTACTCCAAATTAAACAAAAAAGCATTTCTTAACAAATATTTATATTTGTTAATGAGCAGATTTAATTGGTACTGAGAATGCATTAACATTACAATGCCTTAAACTACAATCCTTTTATAAAATTTGATTGACTTTTTCCTCAAGATAGTTTTGTGAGATGGGGTTTGAAGAAGATGAAATAACACTACATGTACTAGTCTGATTTTCTCATCTAAAAAGGCTTCTCTTGAGAGAGCAATGGAGAGTTCAGTAGCATTTGATAGAGATTATGTGATAGCTCTCTTATCAGACTCTCATAGTGCATTTTCCCAATTGCAGATAAATCAATTGAGTGCTTAGTCCTTTTTACATGTGACATTATCTAAACTTTAAAATGACCTTGGAGATAGATATTTGTATTACCATTTAATGAAGAAACTGATGGTTAAAGAGAATCTATCTTGCTTAAATTTACGCAGCTAGGGCCAGGGTATGAAACTAGTAATAGGTTATATGGCATTTCTTTTTACTATACAACATAATATAAGCTGGATATTCTGTAGAAAGGAAAATTTGCCTGGCTTCTCTTATGCTTTTAGCCTAATCTCAATTATAAAATTCAAGAGAGGTCCAGACCCCAGGTATCTAAATGTAATAATACTTAGGTTTTTTTACTTGCAATTTTACAAAAAGACTATAAGACTTATGAAAATTTAGTTAAATTATTCTCAATTATGAAAGTGATACAAAATATATTGTAGGGAAACACTGTGATGTTTACAAAGTTGCTTGTGATATCAATATTCAGGTTCCTTTCATTAAAAGCCCATCCAGATTCCTGCCTGTGACTTACATACATCTATTCTGGCGACTCAAACATTTTTTTAGTGGTTGTTTTCTTTCTCATCCTGTATTACTCATCCCAGATAGTTATTATTAGTTTTCTACCTCTTTAACCTAAAAACTGAGAGATTATTAGGATGTTATATACTCTCCAGCATATTAGGGTTCCTCTGGGAAAGGAGGGAAGTTTAATACCCTTCTACAGAAAAAGGAAATCTTCATGTTTAAACTTAAAATTTAAAATAAACTCCACTTTTTATAACACGCCATTTATCATTACCCATATGGTAGATTATTGCAGAAAGAGTCTCCAGTAATTTTGTCCCTCCCTACATTCCTCCTTTGATAGATCCTTCCTCATTCATTCTTGTCTTGGCAATGTAACTTGCTTTGGATAATGAAAAAATTAGCACATGTGACAAAAGCAGAAACTTGAAAATGCTCATGAATTAAGGTTTAGCTTGTTGCTCTTTTAATTTTGAGTTGCTATGTGAGCAAGCCCAGTTTAGGCTGCAGGGTAGCATATGGCCCAGGTTCTTGTGTCTCCCCAGCTGATTGACTTTTAAGTCAATCAACCCAGAGAAGCAGAGATGGCCAGTTGGCTGGCTGCTGATGGTAGGCCCGTAAGTGCATCCACGAGAGATGAAGCTCTGCTCATTTAAACCTAGTCCACTTACTGCCCACAAGGTTTCAAACTAAATAAATGATGATGGTTTTTACCCATTCAGTACTGGTGTTTTGTTATACAGCAAAAGCAAACTGATACAAGCATTTTCCTAGTTAAACTGGCTACAGAGACTACTGTTTAATTACTAATTAGCCCATAGCTTTTTACTTATATTGCTACATTTTCAAGTTAATAACACTCATTTTTATAGGAATCATTGCTAGGGGAAAATAATATTTAGACAGGAAGAAATTAAAACACACATATATTAAAATTGATTGAGTGTGCAGTTAATGACAAGCATAGTATTAAGTGCCCATATCCTCACTATAAAATATCTCTGTGTGTGTGTCTGTGTGTGTAGAAACAGCATGAATACCTACAAGAGTATAAAAATGCATTTTCCTCATTGGTTCTTCAATTAGAAGACTTAACTCCTGGTGCTTATGCTAACTGGCCCAAACGATGGATATATGCTTAGATGCATAAGCAGAGAAAAAAAAGAACGAGGCAAAGTTAGTCAGAGACTTGCCATCATATTTTTGGTGATAACTAGGGAATTACTACTCCTTATTCCTTAGGACTCAAATATCCCTGGATCTGTAAGTATTGTACCAAAAGGTATGTAATATTTAAATATTTCCTTGAACTTTAAACAAGAGATTTGTGGTAATGGAATACACCATAAAGATAATTTCTAAGGTAATAATTCCTATTTGAAGAGTGTATGACTTGTATTAAACTAAAGCCTTATTATTTGATAATTTGTGTACAGCATAATTGATGCAAATACTTCTTTCCCACATCATATGTACTAGGAAATAATGTGGTACAATGGGCTAAAATTTCAAAAATCCACTTATATTCAAAATGTTCCTTTAAAGTCATTCATACCACAGGAAGTATTCCTTTCATTCATTACCCTGTTGTAGGAGGTTTTTCAACTATTTATCAGACAGTACTCTAAGAGTAGCAGCTAAAATAGAAAAAGTTGTTAGCAATGTTCTTAAGTAAACAGAATAATGAATCTTTGTAAATCATAAATGCCTTAGGAAACTGAAACTGGTCATGTTTTTTGATATTTTGATAGCATGTGCTTTTTTTTTTCTTAAGCATGGGAAGAGAATATTTCCATTATAAAACAAGTGATGCCTATTTTATTCGATGCCCAATTACACAATTCCAAAGGAGTAAAAGCTGCAATATCAAAGTGTGTAATGTGGTGAACTAGAATCTGAGGTTATATATTGGTTATTAGTGGAGAGGATGGGATCAGTTAGTAATTAATGTAAAAAAAGTCTTTTTAATAGAAAATGAGAATAACTTTCTAATGAAAGGATGAAATTAGATTTGTTAATGTACCACAAAGTATGAGAGAGTCTTACATTTGTTAGCATAAATCACAGACTGTACTTTTTTATTTCAATAGTTTTTGAGAAATAGGTGCTTTTTGGTTACATGGATAAGTTCTTCAGCGGTGCTTTCTGAGATTCCCATGCACCCATCATCTGAGCAGTGAACATTGTACCCAATATGTAGTCTTTTATTCTCACCCTACTCTCAGTCTTCCTCCTGGCTCCCCAAAGTTCATTATATCATTCTTATGCCTTTGCATCCTCATAGCTTAGCTCCCACTTTTAAGTGAGAACATAAGATACTAGATTTTCCATTCCTGAGTTACTTAACTTAGAGTACTTTAAAAATATATCAAAAATATTACCTTTTAGTAAGTAGATATGATACTTTAACTTATTTAATTCTAAACATGTAAACAAAAATTATTACTGCATATTTGAAGTTAATTTTGGAAGCAGTATATTCTTACGTTGCCTATATAAACTTGATTAGCTTCTCCCTTCCAAAGATTTTTAATTTTTTAATCAAAATAAAAGGTTTTTTCCTCAGAAAGCATATTGTATAAACAGAATTAGCTCAGTTTTTTATATAACATACCTTTCAAAAATTTGCAAGTCTGTAAAGAGAAAAATTTCAGTAGGTGAACTCCTACTTCCCAATATGTTTATAATGACCATATTTCTGCATGTATGTTGAGGTTAAGCAACAAGATGAGACTGCATTCCAAAATACCTCCTTATTCTGAAGCAGCAAGAATACTGAAAGTTGAAATTCAGGAAGAAAAAATATGTCAGCATTATTACTTATTTAATGATTATTAAAAATAAATAATCCTATATATGACTTAGAAAAGAATCCTATATGATAAACCTATAAAGTCTTTCCTTTCCAAATGAATAAACATTAAGTTTTTAAGTCATTATAAGCAATTATCTTATGGGGATTTAGGTAGGAACAATACATTAGTTATAAAAACATATGGAGATGAAATATTTTATACATCTATGCATATAGGAACTGAAAGGAGATGAAATTAGAAATTATGAAAGTGTCATGATTTTAGGATTTCGAGAAGTACATTTTGAATGTGATTTTTTATTGTCAAGAGAGTAAAGAAGACATATTATTGGTTTGTGGATAAGAACAAGTAATAGGATGGAAGGAGAAGACAAATATTTTCTCAGTCATATTTGATCTTTAGTTAAAGTTTAAAATGTAAATGAATATGTAACAGAGTGTTGACTCCTCAAAGAAGACTGGTTTTGATATCATAGAAAATAATAAGATGGTTATTGACTATTGTGATAACATGATATTGCTACTTGATATTTGTTATTCTGGCATCTTCATATAGAATCAATTGAAAAAATGAAGAAAGCTAATAGAGTAGTACATAGATGAGAAGAAGTTTGCTTGCTATAATGCAGTAGTTGTGGAAATACAAGCAATGAGTTAAATCATAAAGATTTGAAGAGAAATAAAATATGATTTTTTAGCTGAATATAGAAAAGGGAGTGTGCCAAAAGGGCAATTGAATGAAAACAGTACAATATCAGAAATGTACTAAGTGGTAAGTACAGGGGATGCTAACAGAGATGGAGAAATGCAGGAGTAACTTCATTGAGATGAAAAAGAGAATAAATGCATTTCTATCAGAGAAGGTACAAGACAATAATAATAATTAACAAGTGATCTGTGCTGAAGATGTAAATTATGTAGTTATTCACTAATTAATAAAAATAGAGATTCTTAAAACAGGGTAAGAGAAATGACAGACTCTGATGAAGGGAAGAAAGGAAGCTAGATGGAGGAAAATGCAAACAGTATCACAGAAGTCAAGAAAGGTGATGTGAGAAGGATAGTCAGGAATTAACAATTTTAAAGATGAAAGAAAATAAAGCAGTGCATTTTGGGAGAAAATTACAGGCAAAGTTATGGAATAATTTAAATGTGGTTATTGGAAAGGAAATCAAATTCTAGAAGACTACAGAGGGAATATGCAATGAGAAATGGGAGCTGACAAAGAACACTTACTTAAGAAGCTTAGATATAAAAGATAAGAGAAATAAGACAATATTTTGATGATCAAATGAGGGTACCCTCATTTCTTCTTTACATTTTCCAATACAAGAAAAAGATAACTGCTAGATACATCCTTTATTCCCTGATACAGTGGGGGAAAAAAAAAACTTCTGAGAAAATTTTGAGAAGGAACATGAGCATACTGCATGGAAGGGAAAGGGTGTAGGGAAGAGGAAGAGAATAAAAAGAATCAGGGAAATGTCAAGTATAGAGATAATGTCTGAGTGACCTTTCACTTGTTCTGAAACGTACAGTCAAATAAAAGCAAAGGATGAAAACTGCTTAGCCTTAACAGAAAAAAAAAAAAATCAAAGAGGATGAAGAATAAGGCTAGCAATAACTTGAGCTGTGACTCACCTTGGCCCCTGCTAGAAAAGAATTATCGCTACTAAATCAGAACCAGAAGTGAACTAGGGCAATGGATTCTCATACTTCCTATAGCATTATTTTTTGACATACATATAATGAGCTTGATTAAAATGTTAAATTTGTATAGAATGGGGATGACAGAGATGGCAGCCTACTTTCCTAAAATGAGCGACATCAAAAAGTAAATAGAGGAGAATGCATGGATCCCAACTGGGTGGATTACCAGGAATAAGAATTTCATGGATAGAGTGGCAGTGAGAAAGGCAGAATTATTGGAATGGAGAATTGGAAGGAAATAAAGTTTATGACCAAAATTATATAGAAATCTAAGGCCATGAAAAAAATTATATTTGGGAAGTGATCCAGTGGAGAAGAAATAAAATTACAGAGAATAAATGCATGCAGTTTTAAAGAAAGTGAAAGCAAAAGTGAAAAAAACATTGCATAAATATCAACACATACACTCCAACAAGGATGTATAAAAATTATGCTAATATGCCTTTGTAGGCATTAACATGCAAATTAATACTGGGATGTTCTCTGTGGTTATAGTCATTAAATATTACACAGACTTTTACAGAAGGCATGCAGCTTTTAACTACTACAGTTTATATTCTTGTAATTGGTCAATACCTATAAAGACTTTTTTTTCATGATACTTTGCTTCATTAAGAAGTTTGGATAGCAAACCTGACAAAAACAAGAAATGGGGAAAAGATTCCCTATTTAATCAATGGTGCTGGGAAAACTGGCTAGCCATATGTAGAAAGCTGAAACTGGATCCCTTCCTTACACCTTATACAAAAATTAATTCAAGATGGATTAAAGACTTAAATGTTAGACCTAAAACCATAAAAACCCTAGAAGAAAACCTAGGCAATACCATTCAGGACATAGGCATGGGCAAGGACTTCATGTCTAAAACACCAAAAGCAATGGCAACAAAAGCCAGAATTGGCAAATGGGATCTCATTAAACCAAAGACCTTCTGCACAGCAAAAGAAACTACCATCAGAGTGAACAGGCAACCTACAGAATGGGAGAAAATTTTTGCAATCTACTCATCTGACAAAGGGCTAATATCCAGAATCTACAAAGAACTCAAACAAATTTACAAGAAAAAAACAAACAACCCCATCAAAAAGTGGGCAAAGGATATCAACAGACACTTCTCAAAAGAAGACATTTATGCAGCCAAAAGACACACGAAAAAATGCTCATCATCACTGGCCATCAGAGAAATGCAAATCAAAACCACAATGAGATACCATCTCACATCAGTTAGAATGGTGATCATTAAAAAGTCAGGAAACAACAGGTGCTGGAGAGGATGTGGAGAAATAGGAACACTTTTACTCCGTTGGTGGGACTGTAAACTAGTTCAACCATTGTGGAAGTCAGTGTGGCGATTCCTCAGGGATCTAGAACTAGAAATACCATTTGACCCAGCCATCCCATTACTGGGTATATACCCAAAGGATTATAAATCATGCTGCTGTAAAGACACATGCACACGTATGTTTATTGCGGCACTATTCACAATAGCAAGGGCTTGGAACCAACCCAAATGTCCAACAATGATAGACTGGATTAAGAAAATGTGGCACATATACGCCATGGAATACTATGCAGCCGTAACAAATGATGAGTTCATGTCCTTTGTAGGGACATGGATGAAGCTGGAAACCACCATTCTCAGCAAACTATCGCAAGCACAAAAAAACAAACACCGCACGTTCTCACTCATAGGTGGGAATTGAACAATAACACATGGACACAGGAAGGGGAACATCACACACTGGGGCCTGTTGTGGGGTGGGGGTAGGGGGGAGGGATAGCATTAGGAGATATACCTAATGTAAATGACGAGTTAATGGGTGCAGCACACCAACATGGCACATGTATACATATGTAACAAACCTGCATGTTGTGCACATGTACCCTAAAACGTAAAGTATAATAAAAAAAAAAGAAACTTCCTGGTGCTTCTCAAATAACATAAATTAAATGACCATTTTCTTACCATGAAGGGTCTTATAAACACTACGTTAAGTATAAAAAAGCAGAATATACGAGGAAAAAAATTGTGGGGTTATTTCTGGAACTCTGTTGGTTTGTTTAGAGTTTAAGGTGAAATCCATGACTTTGACAATTATATAAATTTCACCATGCTCAGCTGATGCAGAACAAGGTTTAAAGCCATTTTCCAAGGGCTTTAGGTACTTTAAAGTGAACAGAGCCTTTACTTCACAGCATGACTTCCTTATTCAAGAATAAAATAGAACTTGCAGAGCAGCAATAAAAATGATACCAAATAAAAGTCTGAGCTTTGTTGAGTGGGATAAGAGCCCAGAGCAATATTTTAATTCAAGCATAAAAGCAAAAGTTTCACATTATTGGTCCGACACACAACTTCATGCTCAAAAAGACACATCTCTCCTGTGATGAATATATGCATAGCAAAGAAGCATCTCCCTCATGTCTTAGCCTCTGAGGAGAAATTTTTAAGAGAGTGAGACTTTGAACATATATATAGTTTCCCTACCGAAAGCAAAAAAGAGAGACATAGGTTTGGATAAGATAAATTCTACAAATAATCAAGATAATATTCCTTTTAGTCACCAGTAAATACATTCTCTGGGGCTCAGATATCAGTATGTCTTCATAAGTTTAACCTCACAGGTTTCTACTGTTTCTGTTATATTACTTGCATGAATGGAAAGAACAGTTTGTTTACCTATGAATGCTTATTCTTTAAACATTGACAAGAAACGTTCTACCAGACTGCTAAAATTTCATTCTGGGGCATTAGAAAAGTTTCACTCAAAGTCGGTCAAACTTCAGCTATAAATCATTTCCTAAAATGTGGAAATCCAAGGGAGAAAAAAATGGAATTAATTAATTAATTCAAACAGTAGAAATATTTTATAGCACAAATAGCTTCCTGGAAGTTGGAAAAGCATTGAAAAATTTAAAATTAATATGTCTTAGTAAAAGCTTTAGTGTTTATTGTCTTATTATCCATCCCACGCTTTTTTCAACCCACCTGTGCCCTAGTTCCATACAAAGAACTCTATTAATATCAGTCCTAATACTGAGCTAGAATTTAAAATAAATACCCAACACTTTTTTTCACAACCCATTTTCCAGCTATTGGTAGTTGATATTCTGAGCCCTCTTTACTATGCATGCTTACAGAAAACTCCCACTAGAGATAATCATTTTGTGCCTCTTGTATCATTTTTAAGATACGATTCAAGCCTTCAACAGTCTCAGAACAGTGAATTTGCAGTTAATATATCTAAATATGTGCTGATAACTCTGTTTACCACCATAAATATAGCCTTTATTTGTATTTGGGCAGATTTTTAAAAATATCTTAGCTTCATTCTATTAAAATTATGAAAGCTTCACAATTTTGATAGCAGAGAGACTGTGGATGGCTGTGGTTAAAGTTACGGAAAGTTAGAAGATTTTCTTATTCAATGACTCTGATAGCTCATATGATCTATCTAGGTTTTTGTCTTAAAAAGCCTATAGTTAAAAGTTGGTACCTAAACTTTCTATTCATGCACTATATAAATGAGTTCTGAAATTTAGCCCTTTTACATCCATTCAAATGATGGTCAAATCTATAATTCTAGCCCTATTATCAGGCTATTTTTTTTCTGTTAGCTTTATAGAGGAACACTTAACAAACAAAATTCAACAATATTCATTATAAGTTTGATACTTTTTGACAGATGTATACAGTCATGTAATCATATCAGCAAAATTATGAAATAGAATATTTCCACTACCAAAAGTGTTCAGGCCTGTCTCTTGGCATTCAAGTCCCTTTCTTAATACCTTGACCACTTATTTTCAGTCTCTCACTATAGTTTTTCTTCTCTAGAATAAAAATGGAATTATACAGTATGTATGTCTTTTTCAAATACCTGTCCTTTTTCATTTAGCATTGTACTTTTGAGATACATTCATATTGTTGATATGTCAGTAATCCACTTCTTTATATTGCAGAGTTTAGTTCCATTGGATCAATAAAACATAATTTAATAATGCACAAATTTACACACATTTAGTGTGTTTCCAGTTCATGCTTATTATAAATAAAGTTGATATAATTGTGTGGAATTAGGTTTCTTTTTCTTTAGTGTATTCACAGTAGTGTAATTGGTGGGTCATATGGTAAGTATATGTTAAAGTTTATTAAAACAAAACAAAACAACACAAAGTAATACAAAAAGCTGTGAGTCTTTTTTTCTAAAGTAGCTGTACTGTTTTGATTTTCAATGACTAATGTAGAAGAGTTCTCATTTCTCCACACTCTCTAATGCTAGTTATTTTATGTGTTTTTCATTATAACCATTTTAGGAATATGTAGTGACATCACATTTTAATTTGTATCTCCCTAATTACTAAAGATACATAAATTACTTATAATTTATATTTGTATCTCCCTAATTATTAACTTTTTGGCTTCTTGTCAAGTGATTATTTATTACACACATATCTTCTTTGGTATAGCATGGACAAATTTTTTGCAGTTTGTTTGATTTGATTTTTTGTCTTATTATTGAGTCATACACATTGTTTTTATATTCAGGTTACAACTCCTTTGTCACATAACTTCTGCAAATCTTTTTCCTCACAATGTAACTTTCTTTTTAATTTTCTAAAAACTTTCTATTTAAGAGTAAAAGTTTTAAATTTTGATCATGTAGAATTTATCCATACTTTCTATGTTTTGCTTTTTGTATTTGATTTAAGAAACATTGCCAAACCCAAGGTCATTGTGATTTTCTCCTATTTTCTTGTAAATTTGTACAGTTTTAATTCCTATAGTTAAATTTATCATCAATTTCAAGTTAATTTTTGTGCATAGGTGACATAGGGCTAGGATTCATATTTTATGCAAATTTTATATGGAATTTTATGTGAATTTTATTTTGTGTGATATTCACTCTGTGGTAAAGTAATAGTTTTTTGGTTTTTATTTTGTTTTTATTTGTTTTGGGTTTTATATAAATTTCTAATCCATCATGAACAAAACATGTAAATATATAATTACTAAAAAATTACATTAAAATATTATAGATGTACAAAATGCAAACACAATTATTATTATCATTAGATACAACATACAAAAATCACTATGTTAAGACAATTGTTCTTAAAAGCTTAGTCTCAATTTCTGTACTTATAGTACAGAATTATCAGTTCAAGTATCAAAACCTATCTGTAGAGCATATTTATAATAGCAGTAGTATACAGGACAGTTTCACTTTGTATCATTTAAATATATTCTTCCATGGAGATATTATGAATTTTTTTCTTAGTAAATTACTTGATAATGACTACAGGGAGACATGCCTTCCTTCACAATCTTTTTCATATGATATCAAATGCATAAAAGTTAAGAATAATTATTTATTTGAAAGCTAGATATAATTTTTAAAAAGGTCATATTGTAAGAGTCATGAGGGCCAACTAGACACAGCCAGGAAGAGTTTCTCCCACAAAGAGAGACCAGATCATCAAGTAGACCAGCATACTCTGAACAGATCTTGGGAAAGAAGGCATTAAAAGTGGATACAGAAAGGACAGAGACCCAGGGCTCAAATGAGAGGAAGCTGGGAACCCTGTGCCGGATTGCTAAGCACCAGAACTTGTGCTTGGCCCCAAGCAACTCCTAGGGAAGGGGTGAGGGAAATAGGTTTGGAGTGGTAGACACTCACCATGGACCTTGAGTATCCTAGCTATGGGAGACCCCATGGCCTCCACAAATATTTTATTTGGCAGAAAGAACACCTCAGAGATTTGGAACATACAGAACTCCAGTATGTGTGGAGTCCTGAGGGTTTGGCATGGGAACAACTGCATTGGAGCATGGGCATGGGCACCCATCCCCCAAGGTTCACTGTATTTATCTATGTGGTTTTAGCTATTATTAACAGCCAGACCTGGAGAGAGAAGGTTGTCTCGCCCATAGGACAGGATCAGGATGATCTGAACACACCTCTGTCCGTGGGCTTCTTCCAGGGTCCTACTTGCCGTGTAACCTCTGCTGCCCCAGAAAAACACTGGCTAGTGGCCACCAACATAGCTCTCTGGCCAGGAGCCCCTGCCTACCCATCAGAGAGCTTTTTCAGCTGGACCTCCACCAATGCACACCCACCTGTAGCCTTCCCCTGCTGGTATGCACTTGTCCACCACTACTCTGCCAGCATGCATGCACATAGGGACACTTACTACCCTTCTGGAGCACACTCTTTTATGTGTGTGCTCCTACCCCACCACAGCACACTCTCCCACAACCCCACCACCACCATACTGCAGCACTTTCACCAGCATCCCCGTTGAAAGTATTGTAGCCATTGAACTTGGAACCTGTTAGGTCCTCTAGTGCAGGATGTACTTTGCATTGAGGGGCAAGAGAACAAAGCCATGGTCCAGGTCTCAATTGCCCAGAGTTAGATTACACAGCACAAGAAATGCTGGACTGAGCCTTGACCCCCTCAAAGCATCCAGGACCGAAGCCAATTGACTAAACCCAACTTATTCCACAAATCAAACCCTGAAGGCAAAAAAGAATATAAAAGCAAAATGACCATCCAAAAGAGAGCATCTTTAAACATTAAAGGATCGTAAGGCCATACATATGAGAAAGAACCAGTGCAAGAATTCTGGCAACTCTAAAAGCCAGAGTGTCTACTTACCTTCAAATAACCACACTAGCTCTCCAGTAATGGTTCTTAAACATGCTAAAATAGCTGAAATGACAGGGAATTCAGAAACTGGATGGCAAGGAAGCTTAATGAGATACAGGAGACAACTGAAACCCAATTAAAGCAATGCAGTGAAACAAACCAGGAGATGAAAGACAACATAACCATTTTAAGAAAGTACCAAACTAAACTTCTGGAAATAAAAAATTCACACAGAAATTTCATAATGCTATTAGAAGCATTAATAACAGAATAGACCAAGTTGAGGAAAGAATGTCAGTCAGAGTTTGGGCTGGGCACAGTGGCTCACGCCTGTAATACCAGCAATTTGGGAGGCCGAGGTTGGTGGATCACAAGGTCAGGAGATCAAGACCATTCTGGCTAACACAGTGAAAACCCGTCTCTATTAAAAATACAAAAAATTAGCTGGGCATGGGTGGTGGGTGCCTGTAGTCCCAGCTACTCGGGAGGCTGAGGCAGGAGAATGGTGTGAGCCTGGGAGGCGGAGCTTGCAGTGAGCCAAGATCGCGCCACTGCACTCCAGCCTGGGCGACAGAGCGAGACTCCGTCTCAAAAAAAAAAATAGAATGTCAGAGTTTGAAGACTCCTCCTTTAAATCAACACAGGCAGATAAAAAAAGGAAAAAAAAGAAAAAAATTTAAAAAATGAACTTAATCTCCAAGAAACATGAGATTATGTAAAGAAATCAAACCTGTGATTCATTGGCATTCCTGAAACAGACGGAGAGAGAGAAAACAACTTGGAAAACGTATTTGGGGATATTGTCCATGAAAATTTCCAAACCTTGGAGAGGCTGGCATGAAAATAAGGAAATTCAGAAAAGACCCTGAGAAATACTGTACAAGAGGATCATCCCCAATACACACAATCATGAGATTCTTCAGGGACAATGGAAAGGAAAAAAATCTTAAGACAGGTAGGGAGAGAGAAGTCATGTACAAAGGGAAGTTCATTAGGCTAACAGTAGACCCTTCAGAAAAAAGCTTTACAAGCCAAAGGAAATTGGGGGCCTATCTAAAGCATCCTTAAAGAAAAGAAATTCCAACCCCGAATTTCATATTCTGTTAAACTAAGCTTCATAAGCAAAGAAAAAATAAAACCCTTTTCAGACAAGCAAACACTAAAAAAACTTGTTACCAGCAGACTTGCCTTATAAGAAGTCCTTAAGAAAGTGCCAAAAATAGAAATGAAAGACCAATACTGGCCACAATGAAAATACACCTAAGTATATAGACTAATGATACTATGAACACAAGATACAATCAGGTCTACATAACACCCAACTAAGAGCACAATGACAGGGTCAAATCCAAACATATCATTATTGACTTTGAATGTAAACAAGCTAAATGTCCCATTTAAAATTCACAAAATGACTAGTTGGATAAAGAAGCAAGACTCAACTCTATGCTGTCTTCAAGAGACAGCTCTCACATCCAGTAACATCCACAGACTTAAGGTAAAGGGGTGGAGAAAGACCTATAAAAAAATCAGAAAGCAAATAGGGGTTGCTATTCTTATTTCAGACAAAACAAACTTTAAACCAACAACAATCAAAAAGGACAAAGAAAGGCATTACATAATAATAAAGGGTTTAATTCAATAAAAGGAATCAATTCTAAATATATATGCACCCAACATCTGAGCCCTCACATTCATAAAACAAGTTTCTAGGGACTGCAGAAGAGACTTAGATAACCACTCAATAATAGTGGGAGACTTCAATTCACTACTCACAGTGTTAGAGAGATCATAGAGGCAGAAAACTAAGATATTTGGGTCCTAACCTCAGCACTTGGTCAAATAGACTTAAAATATATCTACAGAATACTCTACCCCAAAACAGTAGAATATACATTCTTCTCATCCGAACAGCACATACTCTTAAGATCGACCACATGCTATACCATAAAGCAATTATCAACAAATTCAAAATAACCAAAATCGTACTGATAGCAGTTTGGGTCTGTGTCCCCACTCAAATCTCATGTTTAATTGTATTGGAGAGAGGGCCTGGTGGGAGGTGATTGGATCATGGGGGTGGTTTCTATTTGTAGCTCCATCTCCCTAGTACTGCTTTGTGACAGAGTTCTCACAAGATCTGGTTGTTTAGGTTGTTTAAGTGTGTGTAGCTCCACCTTCTCCTTCTCTTTCCTTTCCTCTTTCTCCTCTTTCCTCTCCTCCTTCTCCTCCTTATTTTCTTTCTTCTTCTTCTTCCTCTTCTTCTTCCTCTTCCTCTTCTTCTTCTTTTTTTTCTCTCTCTCTCTCTCCCCTGCCAGCCATGTGAATATGTACCTTGCTTCCCATTTGCTTTCCACCATGTTTTTAACTTCCCTGAGGTCTCCCCACATTTGTTTTCCACCATGATTGTAACTTCCCTGAGGTCTCCCCACACCATGTGGAACTGTGAGTCAGTTAAACCTCTTTTCTGTATAAATTAACCAGTCTCAGTTATGTCTTATAGCAGTTTGAGAACGGACTAATACAGAAAATTGGTACCACAGAAGTGGGGCATTGCTATAAAGGCACCTGAAAGTGAGGGAGCAACTTTGGAACTGGATAATGGGCAGAGGTTGTACCAGTTTGGAGGGCTCAGAAGAAGACAGGAAGATGAGGGAAGGTTTGGAAATTCCTAGAGACTTGCTGAATGGTTGTGACCAAAAAGCTAATAGTGATATGGACAGAGATGGCCAGGTTGACGTTTGCCATTTGCATAGCACATGAAAAGGTGGATGCCCCCACTATAATCTTTTATAAGACAGATGGATTCTCTACCTGGCCAGCACCATGTTGCCTATTTATTTACTGTACATGTGGTGACAAAGAAAAGGGAAGATGGAGCCTCCATGTTGGATACGCCTGGCCCTCAGTAGCCTTTTTCTACTGGCAGAGCTGCCAGCATTCCTCTATGCAAGCTTCCAGCTTTCTTACGCATGTTTTCAGCTTTATTTTTCATGCTGCTCTTTGTTAGGAAAGAAATGATTTGGGGGCTGCTTTTTTGTTAAAAGGGAAATTCCACTGAGGACTCTTTTATCCTCACTGTCTGCATAAATAATTACTTTCTGTTTCCTGTGTCACTATTAAGCCTGCTGGTATAGAGAAGGGAAGAATTAAGGCTTGGGAGCCTCTGCCTAGATTTCAGAGGATGTATGAAAACACCTGGATATCCAGGCAGAAGTCTGCTGCAGGAGTAGAGCTCCCATGGAGAAACTCTAATAGGGCAGTGTGGAGGGAAAATGTGAGGTTGGAGCCCCCACAGAGAGTCCTCACTGGGACTGCCTAGCAGAGCTGTGAGAAGAGGGCTAACATCCTCCAGACCCCAGAATGGTAGATCCATTGACAGCTTTCACTGTGCACCTGGAAAAGCCACAGGCACTCAATCCCAGCCCATGAAAGCAGCTGCAGGGGCTGTACCTGCAGACCCACAGGAGTGGAGCTGCCCAAGAACTGGAAGCTCACCCCTTGCATCAGTGTGGCCTCGATGTGAAACATGGAGTCAAAAAAGAATATTTTCGAGCTTTAAGATTTAATGACTGTTCTGCTGGGTTTTAGATTTGCATAGGGCCTGGAGCCCCTTTGTATTGGCCAATTACTCCTTTTTGCAACAGGAGAATTTACCCAATGCCTGTACCCCTACTGTGTCTTGGAAGTACCTCACTTATTTTTTTTTTATTTTACAGGCTCATAGGTGGAAGGGACTTGCTTTTCTCAGATGAGACTTTGGACTTGAACTTTTGGGTTAATGCTGGAATGAGTTAAGACTTTAGGGGACTGTTAAGAAGGAATAATTGTATTTTGCAATGTGAAAAGAACATGAGATTTGGGTGGAGCCAGGAGAGGAATAACATGGTTTGGCTCTATGTCCCTTCCCAGCTCTCATGTTGAATTGTGATCCCAAGTGTTAAAGGGGGGGCTTGGTGGGAGATGATTGGATCATGGGGGTGATTTCTAATGGTTTAGCACCATCCCTATAGTGTTGTCTCATGGTAGAGTTCTCAAAAGATCTGGTTTATTGAAAGTGTGTAGCACCTCCCCTCACTTCTGCCAGCCATATGAAGACATACCTTGCTTCCCCTTTGCCTTCCACAATGATGGTAAATTTCCTGAGGCCTCCCCAGCCATGCAGAACTGTGAGTCAATTAAACTTCTTTTTTTTTATTTATAAATTAGCCAGTCTCAGATACGTCTTTATAACACTGTAAGAATGTCCTAATACACATAGCAATCACACTATTGGACCACAGCACAATAAAAATAGAAGTCAACACCAAGAATAAGTCTCAGAATTATACAATTACATGAAAACTAAACAACTTTCCCCTAAATGAATTTAGGTAAATAAAATTAAGGCAGAATAAAAAAAAAAAGCTTTAAAACTAATAGAAACCAAGATACAACACACCACAGAAAATCTGGGACACTGCCAAAGCAGTGTCAAGAGGAAAGTGCTAAATGCTTACATAAGGAATTTAGAAAGATTTCTAATTATCTACCTAGCATCACACCTAGATAAACTAGAAAAACAAGAGCAAACCAACCACTAAGCTAACAGAAGAAATAACCAAAATCAGAGCTGAACTGAATAAAATTGAGATGCAAAAATCCATACAAAAGATCAATGAAATCCAAAGTTCAAAAGAATAAACATGGCCGGGCGCGGTGGCTCACGCCTGTAATCCCAGCACTTTGGGAGGCCGAGGTGGGCGGATCACGAGGTCAGGAGATCGAGACCATCCCGGCTAAAACGGTGAAACCCCGTCTCTACTAAAAATACAAAAAATTAGCCGGGCGTAGTGGCGGGCGCCTGTAGTCCCAGCTACTTGGGAGGCTGAGGCAGGAGAATGGCGTGAACCCGGGAGGCGGAGCTTGCAGTGAGCCGAGATCCCGCCATTGCACTCCAGCCTGGGCGACAGCGCGAGACTCCGTCTCAAAAAAAAAAAAAAAAAAAGAATAAACATTAGTAGACCATTAACTAGCCTAATAAAAAAAACAGAGAAGATCCAAATTAACGCAATCAGAAATGACAAAAGTGACATTACCACCAAACACAGAATTACAATGAACCCTCAGAGACTATTATGACCACCTTTATGTATGCAAGATAGAAAACCTGGAAGAGATTAATAACTTCCTAGAAATATACAACCTTCCAAGATTGAGCCAGGAAGATATTGTAATCCTGAACCGACCAATAATGGGTTCTGAGTTCTGACAGAATCTGTAATTAAAAAGGTATCAACCAAGATAAAAAAAACAACAACAAGCAAACAAACAAAAAACACTGGATCAGGTGGATTCACAGCCAAATTCTAACAAATGTACAAAGAAAAACTGGTATCAATCCTATTGAAATTATTCCAAAACCTTGAGCATGAGAGACTCCTCCCTAACTCATTTTATGAGGCCAACATTATTCTGATACCAAAACGGGGCAGACACACAAGAACAAAACAAAACAAAACAAAACAAAAACATTAAGGGCCAATATTCCTGATTCATATAGACACAAAAATTCTCAAAAAAATACCCACAAATCAAGTCCAACTCTATATTAAAAAGTTAATGCACCATGATTAAGTAAGCTTTATACCTGGATTGCAAGGTTAGTTCAACATATGCAAATCAATAAATGTTATTCATCACATAAACAGAATTAAAAACCATATGATCATCTCAATAGACACAGAAAAAGCTTTCAATAAAATTTAATATCCCTTCATAATAAAAACCCTCAACAAACTAGCCATCAAAGGAACATACCTCAAAATAATAAGAGCCATCTATGACAAACCCACAGCCAACATCATATTAAACGTGCAAAAACTGAAAGCATTTTCCTTGAGAACTGGAGCAAGACAATGATACTCTCACCACTCCTATTCAGCATAATACTGGGAATTCCAGCCAGAGCAATCAGTCAAGAGAAAGAATTAAACAGCATTCAAATAGGAAGATAGGATGTCAACCTATCTTTTTCACAGACAATATGCCCTATATCTAAAAAAAAAAAAAAAAAAAAACCCTTAGTCTCTGCCCAAAGGCTCCTACATTTGATAAACAAGTTCAGTAAAGGTTCAGGATACAAAATCAATGGCAAAAATCAGTAGCATTTTTATATAACAATAACATCTATCAATAGAGAAAAAACGACGAGACAAGTTTCAATCATTTTAGAAGGTTTATTTGCCAAAGTTAAGGATACATACCCCAGAGACAGGTCTATGGCTTTCTCCAAAGATGATTTTGAGGGCTCCAAATTTAAAGGGGAAAGGGTGGGATATTGAGAAGTACGCAATTTTCATGTAAGAGGGAGGTAGGGAAAAATAGTCATTCATGCCTTTGTCTGGCTCAGTGAATCTGCATTTTTTTTTTTTTTTTTTACATAAGATGACATAGAACTGGCCTAGAGGAAAAATGCAGAGAATCTACATTTTTATATAAGATCACATAGACAAAATTGGGCAAGGTAATAATCAAACATGCATTTGTGTCTGATGGGCCGGGGGCAACCGCACCTGTAAAGATAAGCAATCAATTTACATTGCCATGGTGACATTTCAACTGAAACACCTTAGGGTAAAGGTTGTGTCTCTCACTAGGATTTCCTTGTGGGCAAAACATGGGGAAGACATGTAGCTTTTTTTCTTGTGGCTCTTTTAGGAACCAAAAGGGGAGACAGGTTTGCGTGACCCAGTTTCCAACTTGACTTTTCCCTTTAGCTGAGTGATTTGGGGACCCCAAAATTTATTTCTCTTTCACACACTCAAACTGAGAGCCAAATAAAGATGGAATCCCTCTCCCAATAGCCACAGAAAGAATAAAATACCGAGGAATACAGCCAACTAGGTAGGTGCAACTCAAGAACTGAGTTTCAAATTTTATTTGATTTTAACTAGTTTTGATGAAAGACTCGTAGCTAATGGCTGCCCTTTTGGACAGTGCAGCTCAGATCATTCATTTCCTTGTGCTGTGCTGAACCACTTCAGATTTTAGGACTTGGGCTCATAATTTAGTGCAGTGTACAGAGTTCACTGCTGATCTGTGCTGGACATTCAGTATCAAAGTTAACAACTGTGTGTTTCTTTAAGTAAATTAAATTATTTTTGGTTTTATTACAGTGTAAACTATCCCAATCTAGATGTCCAGGTAAGACTATTTTAATTTAAGGTAACAGGTAGACTTACAAAAAATTAAATAACTCACTTTATAGTAATAATATATTTTTCGTGGAAAAAAAATCTGCCTGAAGGCTAACTCTAGATTATCATGAGCTAAATCAAAGTAAAAGACTCAAGAAATTGTATATATTTGTATGTACACACACATATATGTATGTATATACAAATACATGTGTGTATATCTGTTCATGTGTGTATATATATATATTCAGTATATAACCTTATTAAATTATGAACGTTAAAATTTTAACATATAGATATAAGAATCTAAAGAAATAGGAGAATGATGTTTGTTAAACAGATTGCAATTGTGCAAAATATAAAGAAACAACAAAAATGAGGATATGAGGATACAAAAATAATTAAAATATAAAGTTGGTATTCATTTTAAAATTCTAAACATGGATATCGTGTTTTTACCATGTATAATTGAAGCACGTAATTTAAAAGTAAAATAAATCAAGTTGTTTTGTTGTTGTTGTCACCTTCCATATTTTTATCTTATGGCTCTCTTTCTATTTAGCTTTACTATTGCAAACACCTCAAATCTTCTATTCTCTCAGATTTATACTCTCACTGCCATCTTTACTCATTTCTTTCTCTAATCATTAATTTCCAGTGTAAGCAGTCCTGCCATGGTTTCCCAGAAGAACTTAACACTATTTTTATCTTTAATCTCCATCTCTCTTATCCTATTTAGGGCCACATTCACTTATTTTCTGCATAACTGCTAGATATAGAAACACGGATCTATAATTATTTGTCATCTGGATTAATGTTAAGTGATAAATGCAAGTAGCCTCCTACTGCTTTCAATAGTTCTGATCATACTGTTTTATTTTTAACAACCAGACAATAGGTTTCAAATAATGTTTGTAATGGTAGAGCAGCTCTTCAGCTCTAAAATGGATGACATTTCTCTGTAAGAATGTACAATTCACCTGTTCTAATCTCATCCTTCTTTGTCATCTGAATGATTCTTCATTATACTGGTTTATGAGATAATTATTTTTATTCTTATTTAACCTACGAAAACACAGGAGAGGAAACAATAGATACTGGAGAGGATGTGCAGAAATAGGAACACTTTTACACTGTTGGTGGCAGTGTAAATTAGTTCAACCATTGTGGGAGACAGTGCGGCAATTCCTCAAGGATCTAGAACCAGAAATACCATTTAACCCAGCAATCCCATTACTGGGTATACACCCAACAGAATATAAATCATTCTACTGTAAAGACACATGCACACATATATTTATTGCAGCACTATTCACAATAGCAAAGACTTGGAACCAACCCAAATGCCCATCAATGATAGACTGGATAAAGAAAATGTGGCACATATACACCATGGAATCCTACGCATCCATAAAAAAGAATGAGTTCATGAGCTTTGCAGGGACATGGATGAAGCTGGAAACCATCATTCTCAGCAAACTAACACAGGAACAGAAAACCAGACACCACATGTTCTCACTCATAAGTGGAAGTTGAACAATGAGAACACATGGACACGAGGAGGGGAACATTACACATCGGGGCTTGTCCAGGGGTGGGGGACGGGGGAGGGATAGCATTAGGAGAAATACCTAATGTAGGTATTAGGTACTGATGGGTGCAGCAAACCACCATGGTATGTGTATACCTATGTAACAAACCTGCACGTTCTGCACATGTATCCTGAACTTAAAGTATAATTTAAAAAAAAGAAGAAAGAAAATACAGGAGATTAGAGAATCTCAATCCTTGTCACAGAGATAGTGCATGGTAAAACCAGCTTTTGAATCTTGGTGAGCCAACGACAGTCTCTCAATAAGCAAATTGTTAAGAATATATGTGACTATTAGACAAATTTACTTTAATGGGCTTTCCCTTTAGGCAGAGAATCTTTCTTTTGAGTCACGCCTCAAAGGAAAAGTAGAAAAACAATGAGACACTTCTAATTTAGGTATTTCTGAGGACCACCTTTCCCTCTAAAATCCTAGAAATTCTGTATAAAATATTACAAAGAAAAAGTATATCTAGCCAAGTTGTACAAAAAAAAAAAAAATAGAATTAAAGGCAAAGAGGAAACTAAAAGCTTGAGGAGAAAGTCCCCAAGTGAATAGTATATTGAAGCAGCAATGTTGAAGAGAGAATGACAGAAGTAGAAATAAATATATTCCTAGGTGATTGGTTTCATTTTTAATTTTTGTTTTTGTTAATTTTAATTTTGATATTTAAAATAATAGAAAAGTTGCAAGAAACTAAATATTTCACAGTTATTAACAGTTTTGGCTATTTGCATTATTTTCTATTTATCTGTACACATATGTATATGTATAAATATATATATATATTGATATATATGTATATCTCTATGTATAATATATATACATATGATTACTTCTGAAATATTTGAGAATAAATTGCAGTCTTTATGCTGCTTCATCCCTAAATCCTATAGTGGGCATTTCTTAAGAGCAACATATTCTCTTTCATAGTACAATTATTGAAATCAAGAAATTTAACATTGATGACAATTCACAGTCCAAATTCAAACTTTTCTAATCGTTCCAATAGTGTCATTTTTAGATCTTTCCTCCCTGGAACATGAAGCTATTCAGGATGCATGCATTGTGCTTAATTTTCATGTCTTTCTAGACTTCTTTAATCTGAAATAATTCTTTAACCGTGTTTGTTAATTCATGATCATTACATTTTTAGAAGTACTCTAAGGTTATTTTGTACTCTATTCCATAATTTAGCTTTGGTTGACGTTTTCTTATTATTATATTTAGATTTTTGTTAAATTTTGTCAAGAATATCACAGGCATGATAATATCTGAGTGCACACTTAAGAAAAGGTATATCATGTCACTTTGCCTAATTATTGGTGATATTCAGTTTGTTCATTTATGTTAGTGAAAGCCATGCTTCTTCTTCACAAATTGACTACACTCTCCTTGCAATTTATAAATAATTTGTGAAGAGGTACTTTGAGATTCTATAATTCAGCTGTTCCTCATCAAATTCTTGCAAACTCTCCTTAGCATTCACCCATTCATAGTTTTTGCCTTAATCAATTATGACTATTAAGGTAAAAAATTGTTTTTCTAATTCCACAAATCCTTTTACAATTATTATTTGTATTTGCACTGTAAGAAAAGGGTCTATTACCTTATTTAGGTACACATGTGACGTGTGTATGTATGTATGTATGTATGTATGTACTAATGATTGATTAGTTTTAATATCCTCTCAGTACATGACATAAATCCCTGGGATTGGGGGGTTCTAGCTTTGGAACTGGAAATCCCTACATATAGGTTCAGGACTCTCAATATTCAACTTAAAATACACCAGAAAATCTGAACCTCAGCCAGGAAAAACGGCCTAAAGATTTTCTCTGCCCAGAGTTCTGGGTACATGAATTCTTTTCCTGTAAAAAGTAATAAGTATTTTAAAAGTATACTTGTGCTTGCTACCAGTTTTCAGTTTGACAATAGAATCGGCATGGCATAGAAATATCCAAGTTTCAAAGGTAACATATAATTGGTACTGGTCTAGTTAAATCCCTTTATTTCCTGGAAGAAGATAATAGAAACCACCCTTACAAAATTATGGTAGTGAGTAATTTTACAGAAAGTTCAATAATCAAGAGGTCAAAAACACAACAGTAAAGAATTAAAGATTAAGAGTCAGAAAATACAACCGAACAGGAATATTAATAAGTGCAAAGAATCTCTTATAATAAATACATGTTTAACGTAAATGAAGAAATAAAAGAATGATACAAGCAGATAGGAAAAATAACTTTAAAAATAAGAGTCATTTAAAATGAAAAGGCAAAGGTCTAATTAGACAACATATTTTACAACTAGAAGGCAACTGCAAGATGGATCAGAGGACGTTATTCCTAATGAGCACGTGTTGAATAATGAGATTAAAATCTAAGAGTTTGGGCTAGGCGCGGTGGCTCACGCCTCTAATCCCAGCACTTTGGGAGGCCGAGGCGGGCAGATCACGAAGTCAGGAGATCAAGACCATCCTGGCTAAAAGGCACGGGGCTTAGTAGAAACCCTGTCTCTATTAAAAACACAAAAATTAGCCAGGTGTGGTGGCTGCTTACTGTAGCACTGGCTACTCGGGAGGCTGAGGCAGGAGGAGGCGGAGCTTGCAGTGAGCCAAAGTTGCACCACTGCACTCCAGCCTGGGTGACAGAGCGAGACTCTGTCTCAAAAAAAAAAAAAAAAAAAAAAAAAAGAGTTCACGAGAAAAGGAAAACATTAAAGTGAAAGAGAGATTAGACAAATAGAAGAGAGGTAGTTAAACATTCAGGTTAAACTAGAAATAAATGCATAATTTCATCAGATAAAACATTTTGACTTAGGCAAGGAAAGACTTTAATCAGAAAAAGTATTGTGTTTGCGGAAAGAGGCTATTACTATAGAAAGAATGTTCAGACCATAAGTTGTGTATATTTTACAAATGTCAGGCAGAAATGGCTTTTCTTTTATAGGGAGGAGAGCCAAGTGTCAGAGTTGGTGGGTTGAACAGTTAACCAAGGAAGGTCTTGTGCTAAGTCTCAAGAGGGGGTATTGAGGAGATACTGTATGCCTCTTCAGGTTAATGGTGAGTCACACTGAGGGACCTGAGTGAAGGAGGAAACCTGGAATACAGTTTGGTAAAGTTAGGTATTTTGTCCAGATTTGTCAGTGGGCCTAAAAAATTCAGCTTTTTTTTTCCCCAAGGACGGTGAATTAGAGGCTTTAGCATGCCTCAGCCACTTAGATATAGCAAGATAGTGCATAAAGATAACTCTGTAAGCTTTAATTCAAGAAGGAAAGCGGGAATCTACCAGAATTGAAAGGGCACCTCAGATCCTGGGAAGGAGAATGCTGGCAAATAACCCCCATGACAGCATGAGCCTGATAAAAGTGAGTAAAGCCCCAGTGGGTGAGAGACGCAGGGAGCCTCCCTCTGTGACTCACCTTTCCACTAGGGATCCATGCAACCAAGGCTGAGGAAGAGCATTTTGTTTCTCCCAAATGTGGGAGCTAACTTGGGGAGAGTCTTGGAGACACTGTGAAGGAAAGGCACTGGGAAAAGTTGCAGATTTTTTTTTTTTTTGACCCAGGACTAAGAGCAGGAGGACATTTTTAATCTGGGTGCACACAATGTCAGCCATTCTTTGACAACCCGGCAGTGTGGCTGTGCAGACATTTGAGTCTTGGGTTAGAGACTGGAACACCTGCTCTGTTGCAGGCAATGGACCTCCACAGCTACAACTGTGGAAACCACCTCAGCAGTAGGGACTGGAATTGTGTTCTTCCTCATCACAGAGCTGGGATGGGAGGAGAGCCATTTCTCTTAGGTGGCAATACTTGCAGCCAGGGCTAGCTTGGGGACTTGAAATCAGTTTGTGTGTGCCATTGATATGTGCCCCAGCCTGTTCTCCTGAGATCATTGTGCAGCAGGGCCCTCTCTGCCCAACTCCCAGGAAGAAATCCAGGTATTTGGAGCACCCATTTGCCTAGCCAAGCAGCCTGAGCTGCTTGGCTCTTCAAGGATGTAGATCATGGTGAAGCAGGGCCTTTTCCACTCCATGCCTATGCAAAAATCCTAGAATTTGTAGCACTCACTCATCTGGATCAATAGCCTGACTTACCTTGCCCTTTCTGTGCAGAGATTCTGGTGTAAGGAGGCCCTCTGTGCTTCACACCCAGGTAGATCTCCAGGCATTCAGAGCCCTGCTTGTATGATTAAGCAGCCTGAGCCACTCCACCTTTCATGGACATAGCTCATGGTGCAGCAAGGCCCTCACTACTCCATGCACAAGCAGATCTCTAGGCATTTGGAACACCAGCTTGCCTGAATCAGCAGCCTGGGCTGACCCATCCTTCCTGTGCAGAGATCTTGGTGCAGGGGTGGGGTCCTGTATTTGTCCGTTTTCATGATACTGATAAAGAAATAACTGAGACTGGGCAATGTACAAAAGAAAGAGGTTTAATGGACTTACAGTTCCATGTGGCTAGGAAGGCCTTACAATCATGGCAGAAGGTGAAAGTCACATTTTACATGGTGGTGGCAAGAGAGAGCTTGTGCAGGGCAACTCTCATTTTTGAAACCATCAGATCTCATAAGACTCATTCCCTATTATGAGAACAGCACAGGAAAAGCCTGCCCCCATAATTCAATAACCTCCCACCAGGTTCTTTCATCTACATGTGGGAATTATAGGAGTTAAATTCAAGATGAGATTTGGGTGGGGACACAGCCAAGCCATATCATTACACACCTGGCCCCTCCCAAAACTCATCTCTCACATTTCAAAGCCAATCATGACTTCCCAATAGTCCCCCAGAGTCTTAACTCATTGCAACATTAACTCAAAAGTCCACAGTCCAATGTCTCATCTGAGACAAGGCAAGTCCCTTCTGCCTATGAGCCTGTAAAATCAAAAGCAAGTTATTTACTTCCTAGATACAATGGGGGTACAGGAATTGGGTAAATATAGCCATTACAAATGGGACAATTTGGCCAAAACAAAGGGGCTACAGGGCCCATGCAAGTCTGAAATCCAGTGAGGCAGTCAAATCTTAAAGCTCCAAAATGATCTCCTTTGACCCCATGTCTCACATCCAGGTCAGCCTGATGCAAGAGATGCGTTCCCACGGTCTTGGACAGTTCTGCCCCTTTGGCTTTGCAGGGTACAGTCTCCCTCCCAGCTGCCTTTATGGACTAGCATTGAATGCCTGTGGCTTTTTCAGGTGCACAGTGCAAGCTATCAGTGGATTTACCATTCTGGGGACTGGAACACAGTGGCCGTCTTCTCACAGCTCCATTAGGCAGTGTCCCAGTAGGCACTCTGTGGTGGGGCTCCAACCCCACATTTCCCTTCTCTACTGCCCTAGCAGAGTTTCTCCATGAGGGCCCTGCCCCTGCAGCAAACTTCTGCCTGGGCATCCAGTGTTTCCATACATCTTCTGAAATCTAGGCAGAGGTTCCCAAACACCAAATCTTGACTTCTGTGTACTCACAGGCTCAACACCATGTGGAAGCTGCCAAGGCTTATGGCATGCACCCTCTGTAGCCATGGCCCAAGCTCTATGTTGGGCCCTTTCAGACACTACTGAAGCAACTGGGCCACAGGGCACCAAGTCCCTGGGCTGCAACAGCCCAAGGACCCTGGGCCCAGCCCACAAAATCACTTTTTCTTCCTAGGCCTCTGGGCCTCTGATGAGAGGAGCTGCCATGAAGACATCTGACATGCCCTGGAGACATTTTCCCCATTGTCTTGGCGATTAACATTTGGCTTCTCATTACTTATGCAAATTTCTGCAGCCAGTTTGAATATCTCTTCAGAAAATGGGATTTTCTTTTCTATCGCATTGTCAGGCTGCAAATTATCTGAACTTTTATGCTCTGCTTCCCTTATAAAACTGAATGCCTTTAACAGCACCCAAGTACCTCTTGAATGCTTTGACACTTAGAAATTTCTTCTGCCAGATGCCCTAAATCGTCTCTCTCAAGTTCAAAGTTCCACAGATCTCTAGGGGAGGGGCAAAATGACACCAGTCTTTGCTAAAACGTAACAAAAGTCACCTTTTCTCCAGTTTCCAATAATTTCCTCATTTCCATCTGCGACCACTTCAGCCTGGATTTTATTGTCCATATCATTATCAGCATTTTGGACAAAGCCATTTAACAAGTCTCTAGGGAGTTCCAAACTTTCTCACATTTACTTTTCTTCTTCTGAGCCCCCCAAACTGTTCAAACCTCACCTGTTACCCAGTTCCAAAGTCACTTTGACATTTTTGGATATCTTTCCAGCAGCGCCCAACTCCCAGTACCAATTTACCATATTAGTCCATTTTCATGCTGCTCATAAAGACATACCCAAGACTGGGAAATTTACAAAATAAAGAGGTTTAATAAGCTTGCAGTTCCACGTGTCTAGGGAGGCCTCAAAATCATGGCAGAAGGCAAAAGGCACTTCTTACATGGCAGTGGCAAGAGAGAGTTTGTGCAGGGAAACTCCCATTTTTAAAAGCATCAGATCTCATGAGACTCATTCACTATCACAAGAACAGCACAGGAAAGACCTGCCCTCATAATTTAATCATCTGCCACCAGGTTCTTCCCATGACATTTGGGAATTGTGGGAGTTGCAATTCAAGATGAGATTTGGGCGGGGACACAGCCAAACCTTATCAAGGCCCTCACTGCTGCATGACCAGGCAGATCTCTAAGCATTCAGAGCTCCTACTTTCTGGTTAAGCAAACTGAGTCCCCCCATTCCTCTACTGCAGAGATCTTGATGCAGGGGCATCCATTCCACTCCACATCCAGGCAGACCTCCAGCTGTCTGGAGCACCTACTCTCCTGGGTTAGGAGTTTAGGCCATTCCCCATCCCCATGCAAAGAACTTGGGGCCAGGGATTTTTTCCAGGTACTCAGGAGCACATCTGGGCACTTGGTGCCATCCAATGGGATTCCCTCTCAGTGCTGGTGCCTGTGCTTGCTATCAGGGGACCTGTAGTTGCATTTTTCTGGTCCAGTATTGCCTATCATGGCCCCCAGTTCTCTGGGGCTAAGTAGGGAGCTCAGACCACTTTACATTCCATCAATTAGTCAATTTGTGAGGCAACAGAGAGCTTCTGCAAGTAAACAAGGATCAAGTATATACCTAGCCATGTTGGCCACAGCAGGCTCTTGCCTATAAGCACCATATACAGGCTTGTAGGTTGAACTGCAGAGCCCTGTGTAAAACCCAATGAAATAAAGAAATGCATAGGGCTATTAAAGCAAAACCATAAGACCTTGCCATGCATTCTCTACAGTTGCATTCCCTAGGAAGGGAGGAAAGGGAAAGGGGGGAGAAATAATATAGGAAAAGAAAAAGAAAAAAAAATCATACCTCTTTAAAACTAATTATAGAACTTAGAAGTGTCAGTGTCTCCAGATGACAAAGAACCAGTAAAAGCATTCTGGAATGATAAAAAAAAAAAAAATCACAATGTAATGATACATCAAGATATCACACTAGCTCTCCAGCTATGGTGCCTAACCAAAATGGAAACCCAGAAATGATGGATAAATAGTTCAAAGCAAGGAAGCTCAATGAAATCCAAGAAAAGTAGAGTGCAAACACAATGAAACTTCTAAAGCAATCCAGGAGATGAAGGAATAGATCAACATCTTAAAATGAAACCAATCAGAGCTTCTGAAATTAAAAAACCTACTTAAGAAATTTCAAAATATATTGAACTGAACAATGAGATCACATGGACACAGGAAGGGGAATATCACACTCTGGGGACTGTGGTGGGGTGGGGGGAGGGGGGAGGGATAGCATTGGGAGATATACCTAATGCTAGATGACGAGTTAGTGGGTGCAGCGCACCAGCATGGCACATGTATACATATGTAACTAACCTGCACAATGTGCACATGTACCCTAAAACTTAAAGTATAATAAAAAAAAAAAGGAAAAAAAAAAAAAAGAAATTTCAAAATATAAGTAAATGTTTTTCAACAGACTGCACCAAGCAGAAGAACTAATATCAGGGCTGGAAAAATGGGATTTTGAGGTAACTAAGTCAAACAAAAATAAAAAATAATAATTTTAAAAATGAACAGTCTTCAAGAAACCTAGGATTATATAAAACAACCAAATCTATTCAATATTGCCAGTACTGAGAAAGAAAAAAAAATTAACCTGGAAAACATATTTGAGGGAATAATTGAAGTAAACTTCTGTAATCTTCTAGAGAAGTAGACATCCAGATACAAGAAATGCAGAAAACACCCGAGATACTTATAGAAAATTAACATCATCAAGACGTATAGTCACCAGGCTGTTCAAGGTCAACTCTAAAAAAAATCGTAAAGGTAGCTTGAGAAAAAGTCAGATCACGTATACAGGGAACCCAATCAGGCTTACAGTGAACTTCTCAGCAGAAACTTCACAAGTTAGGAGAGACTGGGGGCCTATTGCCAACATTCTTAAAGAAAAGAAATTCCCACAGTAAATTTCATATCCCACGAAACTAAGCTTTATCAGCAAAAGAGAAATAAAATCATTTCCAGAAAAGCATGCAGTAAAGGAATTTGTTACCACTAGACCTGTCTTATAAGTGATCCTTAAGAAAGTTCTAAACATGGAAACAAAAGAATGACTTGTGCTACAAAATACACAAACTGAAGTACATAGCCCACAGACCCTATAAAGCAACCACAAAATAGAAACTAAACAGCATTCAACTAACAACTTCATGAAAGCATCAAAATCTCAAATAACAATATTAACCTTCATTATAAACTGTCTAAATGCTCCACTTAAAAGGCACGGAGTGTCTTTTAGGTTGGATAAAAACATGACTCATCTGTTTGCTGTCTTCAACAGCCCCATCTCACACATAATGACACCCATAAGCTCAAATTAAAGGGTTAGAGAAAGATCTACCATGCAAATAAAAAACACAAAAGAGCAGGTGTTGTTATTCAAATATCAGATAAAACAGACTTTACCAAAAACAGTGAAAACTGGCAAAGAAAGACATTGCATATTGATAAAGGGTTCAAGTCAACAAGATGACTTAACTATCTTAAATATGTATGCATCTGTACTAGAGCACCCAGATTTATGAAAGGAGTACCTCTAGATGTACACAAAGACTTAGCTACACAGTAATTGTTGGGGAGTTCAACACCCCACTGACAGCATTAGACAGATCATAAAGGTAGAAAACTAACAAAGAAATTCTGGATTTAAATTTGACACTCAACCTATTTGACATAATTGACATCAACAGAATACTCCACCCATCAACCACAGAATATACATTCTTCTCATATGCACATGGAACATATTCCAAGATCAAGTACATGCTCAGCCATAAAGCATGTCTCAAAATCAAAAAGTATAATCATGCCAACCATACTCTTGGAACACAGCAGAATGAAAATACAAATAAATACCCAGAAAATTTCTGAAAAACACAGTTAAATGGGAATTTAAAAACTTCTTCCTGAATGACCTTTGGGTGAACAGTATAATTAAGGCAGAAATTTAAAATTATTTGAAATAATTGGAAGCAGAGACACAACACACCAAAAATCTCTGGGATGCAGCAAAAGCAGTTGTAAGAAGAAATTTTATAGCACTAAATGTCTATTTCAAAAAGCTGGAATGGCCAGGTGTCATGGCTCATGCCTATCTATAATCTTAGCACTTTGGGAGTAAAGGCAGGTGGACTGCTTGAGCCCAGGAGTTTGAGATTATCCTGGGCAATATAGTGAGACCCCAATCTCTAAAAATAAGTAAGTAAGTAAATAAATAAATAAATGCTAGGCAGTCATGGTGGCTTATGTCCATGGTCCCAGATACTCAGGAAGAACAAGTAGGAGGATAACTTGAGGCCAGGAGTTTGAAGCTTCAGCAAGCTGTTATGCCACTGGAGGCTGGATGACAGGGTGAGACCCTGTCTCAGAAAAAAAAAAAAAAAAAATTGAAGGATTTCAAGATAACAACCTAACTTCACATCTAAAGGAACTAGCGAAGCAAAAACAAACTAACCCCAAGAAGGAAAGAAATAACTAAAATCAGAGAAGATCTAAAGAAAATTGATATCCAAAAATCCATACAAAAAGCAACAAAATCAAAAATTGATTTTTAAAATGATAAATAAGATTGATAGTTGGTAGAACTCCATATATCTGGATTAAGAAAGGAAAAAAAAAGAGAGAGAAAGAAGGTCCAAATAGGCAGAATCAGAAACCAAAAAGGGTGACATTACCAGTAACCCAACAGAAATACAAAAGATCCTCTGAGACTTTTATGAACACTTTTATGCATACAAACTAGAAAATCTAAAGATAATGAATAAATTCCTGGAAACACACAATCTCCCAAGATTGAATCAGGAAGTATTTGAAACCATGAACAGACCAATATCAAGTTCCAAAACTGAATCGGTAATAAAAAACCTACCAACAAAAAAAGCCCCAGGCAAGATAGATTCACAGCCAAATTCTATTAGACAATGAAGACTTTCTTTCATTTCCTTTGAAACTATTCCAAAAAATCTAGAAGGGATTCCTCTTTTACTCTTCTATGAAACCAGCATTACCTTGATACCACAACCTGAAAAAATACAGTAATAAAAGAAAACTAAAGGCCAATATCCCTGATGAACACAGACGTGAAAAATCTCAAAAAAAAAAAAAAAACACTAGCAAATTGAGTCCAACAGCAAATCAAAATTAATTCAAAATTAACAACATGATAAGTAGGCTTCACTCTTGGAATGCTAGATTGGTTCAACATATGCAAATCAATAAATGTGATTCACCACATAAACAGAATTAAAAACAAAAACCATATGATCATCTCAATAGATGCAGAAAAGCCTTTCCAAAAAATTCAACATTCCTTTCTGATAACCCTCAGCAAACTACCATCAAAGGAATATACCTCAAAATAATAAGAGCCATCTATGACATACCCACAGCCAACATCATACTGAATGTGCAAAAACTGGAAGCATTCCCCTTGAGAACTGGAACAAGACAAAGATACTCATTCTCACCACTTTTATCCAACATAGTCCTGGAAGTCCTAGTCTGATCAATCAGGCAAAAGAAAGAAATAAAAGTCATCCAAATAGGAAAATTTGACTTTTACATCAAACTATCTTTTTTCACTGACAATATGATTCCATGCTTAGAAAACCCTAAAGACTGGGCCAAAACATTCCTGGAACCAATAACCTGGAACCAATAACCAACTTCACTTATAAGTGGAAGCTATACATCGTGTACTCCTGGACATAAAGCTCAAAACACTAGAAACTTGGGACTACTGTTGGGGGGAGGAAGTGGAGAAGAGTTGAAAAACTATTAGATACTGTGCTCAATCTCTGTATGACAATATTATTCCTACCCCAGACTCAGCATCACACAATATACTCAGGTAACAAACCTGTACATGTACCCTCTGAATCTAAAATAAAAGTTGAAAAATAAAATAAATAATTAAAATTATTATTTGATTAATAAATTAAGTATCATATATTAAAGAAAACACTTTTGCAATAATCCACCTGTTTTCATCCCTTCTCCCCAGCTTTATATTCCAGGGTTCATTATGTTCACTCTTTTATTTTGTATGGTTTTGAAATGAATCAGCAACTGGTTTGATCCCCCTCTGTAAGAATTTAGTTCTGACTTTCCTTTACTTTGCTGAATCATTTACTGTTTGTTTGTATGATTTCCATTTTAAACTTGGGTGGAGTACAAATTTTGAAATTATAACACATCTCATTTGCAATTGTGTTTCTTGTTCTCCTTTTTGCAAAGATCATTTTTAAAAGAAGCAGGTAGATACATTTTGTATTTTCAAAAACCCCTTTGGGAAACTTTCAATCAACAATATAGTTGATTCAACAAACTGAAGTGCTTTGAGAGGCTTAAAAACAAGTTCAGGTGATCATATAGTATGCAAAGAAGAGGATTTTAGAGGATATGTGTCTGGTTTTGTCATTGGTACACAGAAGAGCATCTTTAAGTCTTACCTAAATCATATGGGGAACATAAGAGGCAGAGGCATTTCTTAAGTCATCGCTGTTTTCTGGGATCACAGGACTCCAATGAAGTTCAACAGAGTTGACTTTTAAACCGATATTTAAAAAATGACAAATGGAAAAATATACACTAGTTTGTGCTTTCGGGAAGAGTGAGCAATGCAGGCAAAATTTTCCTGTTCAATTAACTTTTTCTAGTGAAAGTTACGCACTGGGTAATGTTGAGAGTTCAAAAGTAAAATAGATAATGCCGACTGCACACAGTGGCTCAGGCCTGTAATCCTAGCCCTTTGGGAAGCTGAGGCAGGCAGATCACTTGAGGCCAGGGGTTTGGTAGCCTGGGAAACACGGCAAAACCCCATCTCTACTAAAAATACAAAAATTAGCCAGGCATGATGGTGCACATCTGTGATTCCAACTACTTAGGAGGCTGAGGCATGAGAATCGTTTTAACCTGGAAGGTGGAGGTTGCGGTGAACAGAGATCCCACCACTGCACTCCAGCCTGGGCAACAGAGCAAGACCCTGCCTCAAAAAAAAAAAAAAAAAAAGATAATAACTTCAAAGGGCTTCCCATCTAATGCAAGAGATTATTTGAATCCTATATAATAACTCCCATAACTTAGATATAAATTAAAGGCTTTTGTAGCCCAGAGGAGGAAAACAGATTCTTTTCAGATGTGGGCACACATTAATTCCTGAAGAAGGTATATTTGAGTCGGCTCAATCTAATAAAGCTTTGCTCTTTTCAAATTGCTTTCATATATATAATCTCACTTAAAAATTACAAATCATCATGAGTTAAACATAGTGGGTATTATTTTCCTCATTTTGCAGTTCAAGAAATAAGGCCAATGAATGATGGGATCAATTCTCCAGGCTCCAGTTTGGTTGACTGCCTATAGAGTGATTTTTTTCCCTCTTCTGTATTATATTTTAAGGGCAGTGAAGGTTAGAGAGTGTGATGAAAGAAGTAGATTTTACTCAAAACAGAAAAGGAGGCTGAAAGGAGAGAAAAGGGAATAAAGAAATAAGACAAGTAAAGAAATATATACCACTGAGCCTAGGGTTTGGGAAGAAACATAATGAAAAACTCTTGGAGAATAAATGAGATCACCACTGATTATGACTGTGCATGGCATACTAGAATTTACCCGTATTCAGTGGAGTGTCTGGAGATTTCTGGCAACACTTATGCAATGTCTTTATTTTTCTCTCAAATATAACCCCAAATCAATTTATCTCTATAAAACTTGATTTTCAACCTAGTTGGTCCTCTGTATTTCTCTTTCAGTACCTCATAAAGTTTTAAATAATAACTTCTTCAATATGAATTTTCAAAAACAGCTGAGTATATATGCATATAATATGCATATATTTTATATATATATACACACACACACACATATATATACGCACACACACATATAATGATTATACTCAGAAATAATGCAAACTACCATGATGGGCCTATAGCTGACACTGAAAAGTTTAACATACTTGTTATCACGCAGTTCTAATGGTTCAAAGGAATCCCTAATAAAGAGAGATAAATATAAATGCAACACTCTTTATATATAATGAAATATTGCAGATTGTATAGATTTTATATGAAATTGATGTTTTGCTTTTTAAAAATAAGTCTTAAGGTTATTCTAATAAGTAGATGATTTCCAGTGAGTTGTAAAATAACATATTCAATCTTAACGCTGAAAACATCTCATAATTTACATGATTGCACCTTAAGGAAACAAATTTGATTAACAATATTATATGCTTGGCAGTGTCATTAGATGAACAAGAATCACCTTTCAAAAATTTAACCTTCTAGATAACTTATTTGTGTTTATCGGAATATTCTCTCTTCAAGAAGGTAATTTAGACATAAATTAATCATGTTTTGATAAAGATGGACTTGCAGTAAAAAACAGCATATTGACTGACACATGGTTTTCTGGTGTGTTTATTTGGCTAAACATCTAATTCACTACAGCTATAGTTATTGTGGTAAAGACCAGAAGAAAAAAATTTAATTATTCAATAAAAAGTTTACAGTGTCACAAGTTTACATGTACAAAAATTAAACCAATGTGCATAAGTTTAGTCTTCACCATGGGAATGCCTAGAAGAAGCTATAATTGAAATACCCGGAAAAAGAACTGGCATTTTAATTTGCCAATGACTTGTGGCAAACACACTGGCTGGCAGAGACAGAATATCAGTATTAAGAAATACACATAAAGGAAAAAAATCATATGGTATGGTAACTTGAAAATCTTGCTAATTATTTTCCTACAGAAGCCCCAGGCTTCTGCTTAAAAAGTGAGAAAATGAAACCCAAATGGGCAAATAAGTGTTCCCCATTTTATGCAACACTGTAATAATTTAAACATCATACAGCCTAACCTATAACCTAAGCATGAACTCATGTAAAAGATATGTGTTAATTAATTTTAAATATGAGTTAACAAATGTTCACCAAGCAATAACTATGTCTAATGCTTACTGCTGAGCAGATACCAAAATGCATGGAATGTAAACCAACCCTGATGTCCAAAAACCTTCAATTTATTAAAAAAGAAACAGAATAAATGCAAAAAATTGGTTAAGAGTATGGCAATTATTATAAGGCCATATTTACAATAAACACTGTTGTTGATTTGTTCAGATTCTCTCTGATCCCTCTTACAATCTGTGTGCCTGTCCTTCAGCTTTTTTGAGCTTGTTTCTATCACTTGGCCTCTACCATCTTTGGAAGGTTACCATTGTGCTGCTAAAGATACACCATCCAAAGGAGCCTAGGGCCAGAAGTTTCTGGGAGTTATATCCTGCCCTCACCTCACCCCATGCCCAGAGTGGTCAAGTGTTACTAAAGGATAAATAAATCACTGGTAAGTGGTATGGAAATCCATGCCATGAGACGGGATAAACTCTCCTGTGACAGACCTTCATAGAGGATTCAAGTGAATCTGGGTTTTCAACTCAGTAATGCCTTTGCTTGACTTCTTCCGTTGGTGCACAAATCCCTCTGACAGAAGCTGACTTAAGAAAATAATTGCAAGATATATTGTATAATAGTATATTGTTAATTGAAAATAACAAGTAAAAATATACATGTTGATGCCTCAGAAGAGAGAGACATTGTGGGCTGGAATAGGCTAGCTGCATAACTAAGAAATATTTTGTTGCTTGAAACAAGAATAGGGTTTAGATAGAGAAAGGAAATTAGCTATTCTGCCACAAGAACAATGTAGAAAAATCTTTATGACAGAGTCTTCAAGTCTTTGTAGGGTTGGTAGGACAATTCTCGTAGAATAAAAGTCTTTATGATAACTGGTGATTTGCTTAGGAATAAAAGTCTTGAAGATAAGGAATGACTTTCCTGGAAATAGATTATGGAGGTTCTTAAAACTGAAAAACAATTGTATTTAAAGAGTGTAAGATATAACCAAAAATGTATTCTGTAGAATTGGAGAAATCATTTAACATTTAGGAATAGAGGAGGGTTATGATTGCAGTTGTGTTTTAGGATTCATCTACTGGTGGTTGTACTACATATTTTGAGGAATAGGGAGAAAAGACAGAACAATTTAGAACCTAATATACATGTACCAACATGAAGTAACCAGTGGATCTAAATCTAAAATTTTGGCAAGAGTAGGGGAAAGAGTTGTTAAAAGGAATGGAAATTAAAATTTTAGAATGACCAGTGCTCTAAAGAATTTTTAGAATCACTTATAAGGTTTTGTGACTAATTTGATGGCAGGTGGTAAAGGTGTGAACAGGCTTTAAAAAATAGAGGAAAGTAAAAATAAATCCAATGAGACATTTTAACTCTTAGAGACTAAGCAATTCATAGCACCATCATCAGAAATAGGCAAGCATTAAATCACAGGTCTAGTAGAAAGAACACAAAACTAGGATCCAGGAATCACCCATTTTACTAACTGTGTCTCCAAATCCTTCTGAAAATATTATGTAAATTGTAAAGATTTCCAGGCTTTAAGAATTCGTCCTTAGATAATTCTGATGACAATAATAATTGTCAAGTTATCTTCTGAGTCTTGTGATATCAGAAAGAATCTTAACAATTTGATTTATATTTTTTTTTCTTTAGAGAAAATGTTAGGAGATATATGTAGAATTACCTAGAAGGTCATTACTAGAAATTTAGAAGTGATCTCGACAAGAAGGGTGGATTAGGGCAGGAGTTACCCCACAAGGCAAGGCATTTAATAATTGACAGAGACATTTCGGGTTGCAACAAATGGGAAATTGCTACTAACATCTAGTGGGTAGAGGCCAGCAATGCTGCTAAACATCCTAGAACACACCTGACAGACTCCCACGACAAAGGCATATTTATTCCAAAATGTCTATGATACTGAGGCTGAGAATCCCTGAGTTAGATGGCATCATCGTGGAGTTAGATGCATTGACATTATATATAAACAGACTACACCAATTTTAGTTGACTCTAAAAAGTTTTAGTTGACACTAAAGAACAGTGTTTTCACATCTACCTCTTATTCTTTCTTGCATCACATATCTTCTAAATATCTACTTGACCTTAGATTTAAAGTTGTAAGTCACTATTCATGACATACCACACTATAAGATTTATTTATTCCTTACTGTCTACTCAGCTCTTGGCCCAGTGTCTGACCAGTGTTAGGCAAACAAGTGTAGTTATGATATAATAAATAAAATAATAAGTACTTTTATTATTTTTACTATTGTATTTCTTAACTTACTTCAAAGAAATATGCACATTTTTCCAGGAATAAATACTAATGATCTATATGTTCCAAAATTAGATATTAATTAATGAGAGATGCATGGCACATAATAGATGCTCACGACATGTTTAGTGAATACTTGTGTGAAACACGTAGACTAGAAGCCTTGAGAAAATAAATTTTCATATCAAGATAAAGATCTTTAAAAGACTTTGAAAACAAGAAATAGCAGATAAAATGTCAACTGGCCATTAGGTATGCTTATTCTATTTTGTCAATATGACATTCGATTGTCAATTTTATTTGTATACTATGAACTTCAGTAAGACATATTGATGGCAAGGTTAAAAATTAACTCATGTAGCCAGATAGCTATTTGATGTCACCACTAAAATAGCATCTAAATCTGAACTTGCCTAAAAAAAGAATGTTTGTTCTCCCCAATACCTTGTTTCCCGATTCTCACTCATTTCTGGACATGACATCATCCAGTGCTCACTTTAACTTAAACTCAAAACCTAAACATTATTTTGCTCTTTTCCTCATCCTGATATCCAAAGGATCCATGCGTTCGTTAGTAAAATCTCCAAACATAGAATTAATCCTTTTGACTACATCACTATTGACAATCCCCAAATCAAGATACCATTGCCTACACTCTGGATTATAGCAACAGCTTCTTCACTGACCTCTCTGCTTTCATTCTTGTTCCCAAATTTCCATTCTCTATATAGTGGCCTAAATAAATTGAGAAAAATAATAAATTAACTGATGACATTTCTGCTTATAAATCTAAAACTCTATTACTCCATTTAGTATAAACTCATTAATGCAGCACAATAGATTTCTTCGCTGCTTTCCTAGCATCATTTCTGTCTTTCCCACAGAAGATTCCTGTAGTTTTAGGGAAACTTTACTTTTGCCTCCTGGTTAGGAATATGCAACTAAACATTTAAACAGAAACAGAAAATCCTGTCAACATATGTTACACCCATGATCACAGGATTGACAAAGGGAAGGCATGTGACTTACACCTATCCAATCACAGTGAATTTCAGAGAAATTAGTGGAAACTGTGGAACACAAACTTTTCTATACTATGAGCGCTTGAACTGCTTCAGCAATTTTGAGGTCAGGAGAAAAGAAAGAGTCTGAGGACATAACCAACGTATAGAGGCAAAGAGCTGAGGAAATTACAGGGAACAGAATTCTCCACAGTGATAGACTGGATAAAGAAAATGTAGCACATATACACCATGGAATACTATGCAGCCATAAGAAGGATGAGTTCATGTCCTTCGCAGAGACATGGAAGAAACTGGAAACCATCATTCTCAGCAAACTAACACAGGAACAGAACACCAAACACCGCATGTTTTCACTCATAAGTGAGAGTTGAACAATGAGAACACATGGACACAGGGATGGGAACATCACACACCAGGGCCTGTCGGTGGGTGGGGGGCTAGGGTAGGGATAGCATTAGGAGAAATACCTAATGTAGATGACGGGTTGATGGGTTCAGTAAAACACCATGGCACATATTTACCTATGTAACAAATCTAACCTGCACGTTCTGCACACACAGGTATCCAGAATTTAAGTATATATATAAAAAAAAGAATTCTGTATAAACAACACTTGAAGTACCTCTGACTTCTGGGTTACAGTGGCCAATACATTTCTTTCTTGTTTAAGTGAGTTATAGTTGGATTTTGTGACGAAAAACATTCTAAAGCAGCAGGGCTTAGCCATTGCTATCTCAGGACTCCTTTACACTCTTACATATTATTCAGAACTCTATAAAGCTTTTCCTTATGTGAGTTTATCTGGTAGTAATTTTAAAATAGCATCCATAAACTCATTACTATATATGCTCTTTAACTCATAAGATAAAGAGCAGATATTTGTAAAACTAACTATGTTTTCCAAAACAATATGCTGAGTGAAAGAACGACATTATTTTACATGTTTGCAAATCATTTTAACATCTGGCTTAATAAAAGACAAATGGAATCTCATATCTGCTTCTGCATTCCATCTGCTGCAATTTTTTTACCATTTTGAAGAAAATCTTATCACACCAGAATATGTAATTCTAAAGAAGACATACAAATGGCCAAGAGGCCATTTTCATGTGAAAAGAAGCTTAATATCACTAATCATTACAGAAACATAAAACCACAATGAAATATCATCTCACACCTGTTATGATGGCTATTATTTTTTTTTCAAAAGTAGAAGACACATGTTGGTGAGGATGTGGAGAAACTGCAACTCTTGTATACTGTTGGGAATGCAAAATGGTGCACCCACTAAACATGATGGAGTTTCCTCAGAAAACTACAAATAGATCTCCCATATGATCCAGTAACATCACTTCCAGGTATTTATTCCAAAGGACTGAAATTAAGGTCTTAGAAAGATATTAGTACTTTCATATTAATTGCAACCCTATTCACAATAGTCAAGATGTGAAAATAACCCAAATATTCACATATAAAAGAATGCATTTTTTAAAATCTGGTATATACATACAAGGCAATATTATTCAGCCATAATAAAATAAAAAATCCTGCAATACATAACAATATGGATGAAGCTTAAGGACATCATTTTAAGAGAAATAAGCCCATCACAGAAGGAAAAACACTTCATGATTCCACTTCTATGAGGTATCTAAAATAGTCAAACTCAAAGAAGCGAAGAATCAAGTTTGTGGGCACCTTGCTTAGACTTCCCAGCCTCCAGAACAGTGAGAAATAAATGTCTGTTGTTTAAAGTGTCCAGGCTATGGTTGTTTCTTATTGCAGCCTGAGCTGACTAAGACACTCTTACACCCCCAATTTCCTCCTCTAGGTTTAATTTCAATCTGTTCTCTTAAATCCCATCATTATCTAAAAATATTATAGATTCCAACTATTTTTATTGACTATAAAAATATTTATTTATTTTTGTTACCACTTCAGTCTGTTTAGTTGTTCAATAGATTAAGTAAGTAACACTGAAATATAGTGACATTTGCCACAAATCTGAGATGCAGGGGATGATGAATTTTAGACAAAAAAAAAGTCGAATTTACACCCTCGTCTACAAAATGTTGTAGTAAAATAGACATTTTCTTTGGCTTTTATAATTATTTACCTCTTCCAATGTGTAAAAGGAAAAGTTGATTCTGTAGCCATTGTGGATATTAGATATGATTCACATTGATGTCACTCTTCAGTTGATTTTTTTTTTTTTTAGATTTAGTTACTTAAAGTTAGTTACCTGTGGAGTAAATGAATGGATCAGGTGGCACAAAAAAGGAATTGAAGCCAGACATTCTGGCAGTATTAAGAAATAGTTTGTGACTGTCAAAATCTGCCAGGAAGAAAAGGAGACCACACTTGGTCGTAAATTACATCCTACGCATTAATTTGCACTTATTATAGGGGCATATAGGTCCAAGACTCTACTGATCTGAATAAGTGAAACAATGATATCTCACCACTTAATATTGTTTGATGATAATTGTTGGATTCCAATGAGAATAGAAGTAAAGTCTTTGTGATTTTCCTAGGTAAGGCAAGGCAAACAGAATCAACAACATCTGCGATTTACTGCATTTATGTACGGCTTGTTAGGGAGAGAAGGAATAATGCTGGCAGCACTCTGCAATTTTCATCTCTGCTGCAAAAGGGCACAATGATTTTTCACTTTACAAAAATAGTTACTATTAGTCCTGTCATACAAAACCATTTAACACAGTTGATTTGGTATTGTATCACTAAAATTTCAAATGAAATAACTGTATTCTCATGCCAGAATCAGACTGCATTGTAAATATTTTTTTCTAGCTTGTATTCTCTTGTATTCATGAAAGAAGGATGAGGAGGAATTATGTACACACACACACACACACACACACACACACACACCAAACACTTCTAAATAATTCAGCTAGCTAAAAATCTTTTGTTTGCCAGCAAACAAGCAATGCTAATACTTACATACTCTATTTTCTCTGCTTTGCTTCATCAGATAAAACCAAACTGGACACTAGGAGATATATTTTATGTGAACTGCACAGGGAATTAGCTCTGCAGTTTCCAGGGACAACAGTAAAATTTGTGTGCTGGATTGCATTTGTGTTATTTAAAGTAAGTCAGATATTTCAAAGCAAGCTGATTTAAGGAAACTGAAAATATTTCTTAAGTGATTAAAACAGGGTAGGATATTGTTTGTGCCATTTCAAAATAATATATTGTTAGGATTTTTATTTCACAGATTTTTAAAATTTGTATTATAAAATTTAAAATAACTAGCAAATACTATAGTGATATGGGCAATGGGACAAATAATTTTTCATTTATGGCATCAATGAAATTAGAAGGAACTAAGTGCTAGCAACATGAAAACTTTTTTAATAATTTGAGGTTTAGAAGACATTTTAATGTGCCTGTAAAAAACATTACAATATTTTAAAAATTTATATCTAAAACTGAATGCCTATTTTGAAGGAAATAAAAGGAGCTAAGATACATTAATTGCCTATTAGGCACCAGGATATTTTTCAACAGTGAGGTGTTGTATGATATGGAAGTATTTCCTTCATTTTCAGTTGATAAATTAAGCTCATTTACACTTAAGTGGTAAATGCTTAGCATATTGTGAGCCAGGACAGGCTTGGGCCTGCTCTGACCTCAAAGTACTTGTTCAATGAAAGCCCTATCCTGTCTTTTCTCTCTTTGGAATCTAATGAATAATTTAATGAATGCTCTCTTTTCACCAAAATACTCTTAACTAAAGAATGGAAGTGCAATGCAGGCAATTATTATAAATTACATGAAAATAGTCACTGTAAATAAATAAAGAGTTTAACACAGTGAGCAAGATTTAAAGACTTGGCAATGAAGATTAAGAATTATAAAGAAACAATGAATTGTGGAATGCTACATATTATACTTCAAAAACTACAATTCAGCTTTTGGAGGTAGGGAAGGAGAGAGGAAAGAAGGGATTGAGTGAGGGAAAGAACAAGACAGAGAGTGAGAGCGAAAGTGAGCAAGAGTGAGCGACAGAGAGAGAGAGAGATTGTCACTATCCTGTAAGCCAAGTTGAAATATCGCAACTGTGATCCATATGTCAATCAATAATTATCTCCTTGGATCCAATAACACACTTGAGTTGCAATAATTCTGGTCTGTCTTTATAGCCAAACATTCAATCTAGTTATGAAGCATTGTCTTTTAAATCCCCATATCTCCCATATATAATATCTTTGACCCTAACAAAACCATACAAATGTGTTATTCAACTGCTGCAAAAACAAATAATAATAATAAGGTCAAGGCATAGTACAAAATACTATGATATTCCATAGTATGTTCCTGGTGGGATATTAGATGGCATTAACAACCACACAGGTCATGAGCTGAAAGTTACTATAGTCTGCACTGAAGTTATAATAGACATTGTTTTCTTCCAAACACACGTGCGCACGTGCACACACACACACACACACACACCATATATATAATAGAGAATGGTTCAGATCTAAATTTCTGGATTACAGGTAAAACTTCCTTAGCAATATGAAATCTATTTTCTTGTTGTAAAAAGACCACTGGAAAACATTTGCTTGTTTTGTTCAATTTACAGAAATTATGCATTGTGTAACTGACCATGTAGCCATACAGCTTTAGATAATCTTTAGGCCTTTTCTACTTGACAACATGTATTTTTCTGTAGCAATTGCTACATTACCTGTTACAACGTTGCATCTCTTTTCATTTTGTTTTAGTTTTAAAAAGCATTTTTTGCTCCCGCCCTCCACTCTTCAATAAGTCCTTCTGGAAATGAGGCACATTAAAATACATTAATTTTAGAAATAATTTTTCCAAAAGTATTCAAGTTTATAGAAAAAATTATGGTAATCTGAATACTACATACTGAATGCCACATAGAATATCACATTAATGATCACAAATAATTATGCGACGCTAGGCTGAATATTGTGCCATTGCCAATCCAACCCTAGTTTGAATACACCAAAATCCATTTTTACTAAAGATTTGTAATTTAATCCCCACCCTGACCTCAAATCAACAGCAAAATATACTAATAGACCCACAGAACTGTGGTTAGCATGGAGGGAAACATGAGGATGAAGAGAAGAAAGAACATTTTGCCTGTCATCTCTCTGTTTGGAATCTACTGTTTAAAGATACAGTGCTCCAATACATAGATAATATAAAAACTTCTGCTACAGTCCTGAGAAACTCTTATTTTGAAAGTAAAGACTAATTTATATAGAAAGATTCTATATTTATTATGAGAATCTAGAATATCGAAGGATTGATAAAATATAAATAATAAATCACACTGATATGAGCTGTAAATAAATATAACTTAGATTTTACCTAAACAGACTACCAAAACTATTTGACGAGGTAATAAAAATATGAAATATGTTGCTATACAGAACAGCTCTAAATAAAACTTAGAGACTGAGATAAACAGCTAAAAAATAAATGGGTAGATTTTAGAAAAATGTGGACAAAAATTTCCTCAGAATGTATAATGTGTATATTTTATTTCAAAATGAATATTGGTATTTTCAATATACAGAAAAAAATACTATTTGATACCTTCTACTGAGAATATGGCTCATTTAAGTTATATTTAAATGATAATCAGCTTGACTCTAATATCTCAAATATCCAGGAGTTTTGTGCATATTTAATATAAATTAAATAAATGAATAGTATCTGCATGATGCACATATACCTAATGAGCAAAATTTATGTTACTATTATATTAGAAGAAATAGATGCAATGATTCTAGAATATTGGACTACTTATTCATTTAACAAAACTTTATCTGTAACCTATTCCTATTATATATAATGTATTACACACATTGTGCTGGATTTCAACTCCTATTACTAAACAAAACTTCGTTCCTTTTAAGCTCCTCCCTGTGTTAAAGACATTGGAAGATTCAAAACTGCTTCTCTCAGATTTCCTTGGTTTCACATACTATTTAGATTTCAAGAATGAGAGGTACTCACATAATACATGGAAGATGAAAGAGAAAGAGAAACCAACATTCTTCTTTATTAAGTATGCCAAATACGTTGGCCTCGACCACACTGGCTTCCTCTCTACCAGCCTGATCTGACTAACCACAATGTTAAGTGTCTTAGAGACTGAGAAGAGTTGAGCTGTATGGCACCAATCAATCAGCTGTAAACAGGCTGATTGCATTAAATCAGAAGTTGAATTTGTTTTTCTACATTAGAGTAACTCAAGTTTGGGAGTATGAACTTGCCCTCCCTGATTTCAATGCTTCTGCCTGCATCACCATCCATGGTACTCTTGAAAGCCTTATATACATGATGATTTTCCAAATATCATTGATTTTGACCAGAAAGATAATGGATTTGAAGCCAATAAGATTGATTTTTTCCTATCTTTCTCATCATCCAGAAGCAGATGGCCTGAGAAAATAATAGAATATCCTGTCAAAGGCTCAGTGGTGGTGTTGCTGCTGCCACAACACATTACATTTTTGGACCACTCTCCTACCAAATTCAGTCTATTCTTTGAAACAGCAGTTAACGTATTATACAGCATAATAGTTACTCTGGTAAGCAGGATCAATGAGTCCAGGCATGAAGAAGGAGAGTTGAAGTTCATTCCTCTATTACCTCTGATGACCCAGTTGTGAAATATTTTCTTCCTGTCCCCACACTTTGGGCTTTTCTAGCTTAGAGAAATTAGTTCCCAAGGGAAGAAGGCTTTAAACAAGACAGAGTAATTGTCTCACTGAACTGTAAGTTGGAGCTGCAAACTGATCACTAAATCAGCTGAAGTTGAAGTGACTCTTGTGGCTGAGGTGATAGATCCTGATGACTAAGGGGAATCATAGTTGTTGTTCACAATAAGGGCAGGCAATAACGTCTCTAGAATCAAGAGAATTCTCCAGGTGCCTCTAAGGTTTTCTACATCTAGTATTAAGAGGGAATCATTTTTTAAAAAAGATTATTTCACTGTACTACCATAAGTCTTTCAACAGTGAAAGCTTATGTCTACCTACCAGGTAAAAGCCTCATTTTCTGATGGCAAAGCAATCTTTGAATGTATGAAGGCTACAGTCCCATGACAAGAAATAAGAACTGTAGTACCTTCCTGTGTCTTTTTTTAATTGCTCTTAATTCATATGTGATATATGTGTGTATATATAATAGTAACCAAATTTTATCCCCTTTACTGTATAATTTAATAGAAGCTATGTTGGTGGATTATCTAGGTGGGCCTTATGTAATCTTAAAGGTACTTAGAATAGGGATGCAGGATGGGTCAGAGTCATGGAAAAGGGAATGTGATGCTGTAAGCCAAAACTGGAATGACGAAATTTGAAGACAGAGGAAGGGGCCACGTACTAAAAACTTAGATGGCCTCTAGAGGCTACAAAAGAAAAGGCAATAGATTCTTCCCTATAGCCTCCAGAAGGATACAGTCCTGAAAACACCTTGATTTTAGTCTAGTGAAACTGATGTTAGACTTCTGGCCTCTAGAACTGTAAGGGAGTGAATTTGTGTTGTGTAAAGCCAGCAAGATTATAGTAATTTCCTACATCAGACATAAGAAATGAATACAATTATGTTTCAAGTATGTATTTTATGTTAACTATGTATATTTTGCTTTGTTGATTCAGTACAAAGCTCTTCAGTAGTAAAGACAAATACATTACTTTTTGAAATAATGCCTCAAAACAACTTACTGTGAAACTCCACCTAATTGTTCATCACAATTATAAAGGCTGAATAGTATTCAATTTTAAAACCACAGGTCTTAGTTATCACTGAGATTAAGATATATTATTGTGCTAACATGATGGTCAAAATGAAAATATTCATCCCCCTACACACAAAAAACTAAAAGCGTATAACAGAAGTATAACTTTAAAAATATGAACAAGTAGGCCCTTCAACAACAGCAATACAAATAAAATACCTAAAATAATGTATAAAAATAGATATATGGCAATTAAAGAAATGAAAGAGAAGCTTGTAGTGGAATGCAAAATAATTTTGTACATAGTAAAAAGATAATATGATCATCTTGCCACAAAACTGTAACAAACTGGAAAGCTGCAGCAAATAAAAACCACTCCAGCAAAAGTAGAGACATGTATTCAAATTGCATGAAGAATGATGGTAAAGTATCCACTTTTTTCAATACTCTTCTATACAATAGAAGTACACCATTCTTTGTCTTTAGAAATTGTCACTTATTAAATACAAATGAAATGTACATATTTTAAAAGATCCTTGACACTCTCCTTTGCTTTTCATCAGAAAACATCATAGAATTATAACTTTTATTCTTACTGAGCATGTTTTGATGTGAACCATTCATCATTTATGATGCTATCACAGCTTGAACAAGAATTTGCATTTGAAAACTCAACAGAAATATTTTTTGGCTAAAAAAAACTTTGTTGAATGTGGAAGAATAAAACTACAATATTTTTAACAATTCCTACTGCATATGCAAATTTCTATAACATCCAGAAATGCATTAGTTGTTGGTGTAATGTTCTTTTTGGTGTAATATTAACATTTATTGTTTCCTTTAAATGCAGGTATATACACAAATGCATACATATTTATGTGTATATATACACACATACATATACATTCATACATACATGTGTACATAATTATCCATAGTTTATCTTTAATCATGTAGTAAGAATCGTAGGTGCTGTGACTGTTTTTTTTTTATTTAAATTTTATTTTATCTTATTTTATTTTATTATTATACTTTAAGTTCTAGGGTACATGTGCACAACGTGAAGGTTTGTTACATATGTATACATGTGCCATGTTTGTGTGCTGCACACATTAACTCGTCATTTACATTAGGTATATCTCCTAATGCTATCCTTCCCCCCTGCCCCCACTCCACGACAGGCCCCGGTGTGTAATGTTCCCCATCCTGTGTCCAAGTGTTCTCATTGTTCAATTCCCACCTATGAGTGAGAACATGAGGCAAATGGTTTTCTGTCCTTGCGATAGTTTGCTGAGAATGATGGTTTCCAGCTTTATCCTCGTCCCCACAAAGGACATGAACTCATCCTTTTTTATGGCTGCATAGTATTCCATGATGTATATGTTCCACATTTTCTTAATCCAGTCTATCATTGATGGACATTTGAGTTGGTTCCAAGTCTTTGCTATTGTGAATAATGCTGCAATAAACGTAAGTGTGCATGTGCCTTTTATAGCAGCATGATTTATAATCCTTTGGGTATATACTCAGTAATGGGATGGCTGGGTCAAATGGTATTTCTAGTTCTAGATCCTTGAGGAATCGCCACACTGTCTTCCACAATGGTTGCACTAGTTTACAGTCCCACCAACAGTGTAAAAGTGTTCCTGTTTCTCCACATCCTCTCCGGTGCTGTGACTGTTTTTGAGTTATATGTCTAAGGGGTGAGGCTATGGGAAAAAGACACCTGAGGCAAAGAATGGCGTGAAACAATGTGGTGAGGTGTGTTGATTGTGCTACCTACTGCTCTAAAGAGGCCCGGAAAGACAAGGAGTGCTCCCAGGCATTCTGTTAGTTTGACGTTATAGAATATAGCTGCTAAGGTGGAAGAATAAAACTGTCTCTTGGAGGAGTCTATCAGAGATAGAAAAGAAAGGGTATGTAATTGACCAGCTACCCCTTACCTTTGAGTTTGTGTTGGCTAAGTTTATCCCTCCAGACAGGTCACTTACATTGCTTGCTCATCATCAGTGTCCCATCTGAAAGTGGAAAGCCATCTAATGATGAGTGCTGATCTTCATGGAAGCAACAGGCAATACAGCACACCTGAGAAGGTGCACCAGGTTTCTGCCCAATATATGACTTTTCTCAATTTTATAAATAAAACATGTAAATCGACACCATTTCTTTGGTCAATATTTTCCCAATGAGAATCTCTTAAAGTTATGCAGAAATAATATCAATTTTTTAAATCAGAGTAAAATAATTTTCTCTAAATATTTTTTTCATTTGTACCAAAATAATGACTAATTTAATCACAGTAAATGATATACAAGTCAATATCATTTTATATTTGTGTTCAATTGTATAAATTCTGATTGAAAAACTGAATAATATAAATGTGAATCAAAAAAGCAAATTTTAAACTGTAATAAAATATCTGGCTTTTAGTATAAAATTGTATAAATGTTTTGATCTCACTATTCTCTGTCTCCTTTGTGTTTGTATATATATTAACAAATTTTGCTTTTAGGATGAAATTTTATAAATGTTTTGTTCTCACTATTCTTTCTGTCTCCTGTGTGTGTTTATTAATTCATAAAATGAATTAATATATGTATATAATAACCACAAATTTAACAAATTTTTAAAAAATTTGTATGGTGCCATTCTTAATCTCTTTCAAATATTTAAAATACTGCAGCGCTCATACCACTGAATTGAAAAATAAAATAAAATGTCTATGTCTCTGATTTTTATTTACTTTAATGTAATAGAAAGAACATTATCCTGGGAATTAGAGTAGATCAATATGTGCCCCCACTCCTCCTCTTAACCAAATGTTCCATTTAGTGTCTTAAGAGTCATAGGTCTTTTAATTCCTCCCAGAAAGATGACTCAGTATAAAATAAGTAATTTCTAGCTTTCCTCCCAATCCCAAGATTTTATTCAATCTAGTATTTTATTGTTGATGCAAATTTTAGTATCTATTTATGGTTTAGGTCTAAGACCCTATTTTAGACTAAATAGGGTCTTAGGCTGCCATAACAAACTACCATAGGCTGAGTGCCTTATAAAAAACATAAATTTATTTCTCACAGTTCTAGAGGCTGAAAGTCCTAGATTAGGATGCCAGAATAATTGGGTTCTGGTGAGGGCCCAATTCCTACCTCATCCATAGATGGCTCTCTCCTCACATGGCAGCAAAAAAGGAAGAGGCTCTCTGGGCTATCTTTTACAAGGGCACTAATCCCATTAATGAGGACTCCATTTCATGACTTAATCACCTCCTCAAAGCCCCATATATCAATACATCATATTAAAGGTCAGGATTTCAACAAATAAATTTTCAGGGGATGCAAACTTTCCATCTCTAATAGCTCCTAGATGAAATTCAGATCAAGTGAGATATGAACTCCTCAGAGGCTGAGTTTATTTCACTGATTAATCCTGATGAATTTCACTTTAGACAGTAATAGAAAGTATAAAATAAAAAACATAATAATTCATTGACTAATGACTGTGGATACATAATGTTATTAATGAACTACGTTTCTTAATCTATTTTCCTCTTTTTCAATATGGCTAACTTTGTTCAAACAAGCATTAGTGGTGTATAAACACAGTGTATATTTGTCTTTATAGCTCCAGGATATGTGGTGGGAGAATTATCAACTATACGTAGATTTATCTGACATGATCTGGTCTAGGGATCTAGAAAGTTTTTGGTCACAAACCTCTATCTATGAAAAAAAAAGACTCTCTTTTGTTTATGTGGTTATATATATTTATATACTGATTACTACTATATAATATAAATTATAAAATATAAAATATACATTTTATAAGACAAGAAATCGATTTTGAAATTATATTTATTTTTCAAATTTTGTTAAATCATCTGTACAAAGTCTGGAATGCATACACCTGAATTTAAAGATCATGGCTCCCGACAAGGTGATTTAGCTCCCATATATCTGTGCATTCATTCATTCAAATCAGTAAAAAGTTTTTGAGAACCAGCGGGGAAAGTCATGATAAGCAAGAATGGCAATTACACATATTCTTACATAGTTTACTTACAAGTGAGAAGAAAGCCATGAAATGCATTTAAAAATAGGTAATATTTTTATACTACCTATGTATACTATGTTTATAAGAACATGTTTATACTATGTTTATAAGAACAATTGTATTATGTTCTTATAAACATTTCAAATTATACATCAAATAATATACTTCTAGAAAAAAAATTCTACCGTGAAAATAACACCGAGGCTTTTCTTTCAAATGAAATAAATAGGAAAAGCACTTAGCACATGCCAGACACATATGAGCTGTTGAATGAACATTAGTCTTCTTTTCTGCATTTGCTGGTTTCTTTTTCACTCTTCGTGGATTCTGTGGAGAGGTATAAGGTTGTATCTCTTCTGATATGAATGGAACTAGAACCATATCTAAAATAAGAAAGGAAAAATGGAGACTGTGTATCTTAGCCCTCATCACTAAGTTGTAGCATTGGCTGTGGCTATATTGTTAGGCTTTAAATATCCTGCAACTGGATTCCGCATGTAAAAGCTTATGTGTTCTCTCTCTCTCTCGACACCACCGACTGTCACGCAAGAGACTGTTAGGTTAATCCTGTGCTAGACCTTTTCCACAGACAGAGAAGCTTTACAGGTCAGTAGCTCAGTATTGATCAGTGCAAGTCCTGCTAGTGATCCCAACTATATTCACAGACCCCCAGTTTCAGAGCAGCTGAACAACTATATTGTTTTTGTGTCTTCCCTTCTCATCCTATTCCCTAATAGAAGTGACTCACTGGTTCCACTATGATTGAAATACTATGATGCCCAAGGATAATGCTTCCTGTTCCTGCCCATCCCTGAATTTTTCTAGTCTAGAAGCATTTTATCTACTTTTCCCTTTATTTGCTAATAGCATGGCTTGACCCACCCTTTTAGAATTCCACAATTGCCTGACCTTTTTTTGTTTGGTTAAACACTCCCTGAAGGTGACATGACATCAGCCTATGATACATAGTATATGTGACTAAACTATTATTTTATTCTCGGGACTCATTTCACAAATTGAGTTCCACATTTGTACTAATAACTCTGTATGACAGTTCCACCAAACAAGCAAACAAAAATATACAGCTTTGCATCATCTTAAAACTGGGCAGTTCTTAACCTTACAAGTGTTTCTGAATATGCAGTCATGGACTTTCACTGGCTAACATATTTGACAACCAATTGAACTCCCATCATGGCTCAGGGGCTTTTAGCCATCTAATTTTCACTCTGAAGAAAAAACAGATTCCACTAAACAAAGACAATAGGAAATGAACCATAATAATCCTGCCTATAAGAGAATTTCCCTATGATTAGTATGTACATACTTTAGAAAAATATCACTAGATGGAACAGGCTTTCTGAACAATAGAAATGTATTATTTCTCTCTTGGAGACAATTGTGTCCATGAGGATGATATTTTTATAATAAGGATAGAGTATATGGAAACTGGGACACCAATTTATCTAAGCATTATTTATACCATGGTTTCCAGAATGCCGGGAGGCTCAGTTTTGGTATGTATTGAAATTGAGCAAGATAATCTAATGCACTTTGGGTAAAAAGCTTTCCTGAAGGGCAGATGGTCAGAATTCTCAGAAGGCACAGACCCAGGGGTGCGGGGCACACTCTTGCAAGTAATAAAGACTCACTGCCAATGAAACCAACTGTCCTAGCATCTGTGTGTGCTACCAATGAATGCAAAAGATGAGGAAATGACAGTGTTGAACTCTCAGATTCTCTACTTCTGCAGCAAACAATGTTAAAATTGTGACTTTAAGAATCTTATTTTTGGTTCCTGCTTTTCAATGCTGGAGGACTCAGAAAAAACAAGATATATCCAGAAAATTATTTAAACCTCTTTTGACCTAAATCTGTAAGACCTATCCATATTATGAGAGGTTGCCTAGAACCAAGGGTGTACTACAAGATCCTTTTTCTATCGATCGATCATAGCATACTTAACCCAATGCAGTACAGTTCTAATCTCTTGGCTCATCAGACCTGAAACAAACCAAAGGCTTCTAATGCAGACTCCTGGGTATACCCTTGGAAGCCAGAAGCATAGCAGAATACTAAGATAAATCTGAAAATCATTTAACTTTTAACTTACATCTCCCAGGTTCGTGCCTGTCAAATGGCTAAGCTAGCTTCTTTTCTAGGTCTAGCCCTACTTCCCTCTACTTACTCTCACAGGCTATGATTCTGCTCCCTTTAGGGTTCCTTACAGTTTAAGATTAGCTCCAATGTCTTCAGGCTGCTTCCTCTGTAGTCCTATATATCCTGAGCTGGCTCATAACTATGTCTCTTTCTGCAGCTGCATCTACGTTGTGACCCACTTTTTGTTCCATAACTAGGATTATACTATAGTATAAAACAAGAAGGATTAGAAACTGTAACCAAGCTTAAAAGGTAGAGTGGGATAGATGCTTGGAAAAAGTCTGGTTTAGAAGTTAGAACCAGGCATCTGAACGATATAAAGACAGTGCACTCAAGAAAAATAAGCAAGATATTTGAGAAGATGGACTGGAGGTCAGTAATCAATGATGAGTAACTCTTGACTGTGCAGGAATTCGTGCTCTTGATTTCTGATAATTTTTTTCATAGAACAGGAGGATATAGCCTTTGGAATGGGGTTCAGAGGAAAGAACTTGGTGCTTCGAATTTCAAGTTGAAACAAAACAGAAAGCAGAACTCAAGAAAATGGCAAAAAAAAACCTATCTAAAGGAATAAGTTCATTAATTTAGGATTAAACTGGCAAAAAGATAATTTTATGCTGAAACCCAGAGCAAATGAATAGAAATTATCTCCCAGAAAGGCTAGAATAGTGTAGGTTCTATCAAGACAATACAAGACTGAACTTGGTTTTGATCATCAGTTGGTCCCATCTATAAAAGAAATAGAATGTGGAGATTAGAGGAAGATAAAGGCAACAAAATTGACAGCATCTGGAAAATTCTTTACCCATTTTGTACTTTCTCCTCACTACTTACTCATAGAGTCCCATCTTTTTAGTACCCTTGTATCCTGCCATCTCATGTACCCAGGCCTACAGATTCTAAATCAAAGCCTTCAGGTGAGTTGCAAAAACTCCTGACTTATCAAAATTTATTAGGTCAGACATAGCCTATCAGCTATCATTCTGGAGAGTGATTTTTGTTCTGAGTTGCAAGACAGATAAGGATGATAGAGCAAGGTAGAGAAGAGCCACAGTCAGTAATAACTCTCAGATTCTTGAAAAAAGAGTTTATACACCACTCAGAATATAACATAGTGTATCACTGCATTTATTATTGTGTTTTTTTATTTGTGTTGTGTTTCAAAGTCATGCTTTGATATTGAAACAGCAGTTCACTCATTCTTTCAATAGATATGCATCGAGCTCAAGTTTTCCAATACTGGATGGCGAGACAACAAAGTTATATGAAACATAGTTATTGTCCATGTATTCAACTTCCGCTGCATATTTTGTTTGCCTCATCTTCTCTGCATTAGGCTAACACATCATTAAGTCAATATGTCATCCTCACTTTTGCATTCTTCAAAATGTTAGGGCAATGCTTTTTGTCTACAATTTTTATTTTTGCATGGGTGAAAAATGAATAAGTAATAAATGATTATAAAGATGATAAATAGAAAAACAAGTATCACAAGTAAAAATTATCACTGTCACATAAAATGGGAAAACTTAATTGAAACAAAGTGATAATTATAGATACAGCTTAAGATCTCTAAGTTAAAGGGCCAGGCCAAGAGAATAGCTGCATTCAATATCTTCAAGAGTTTTTCCCAGTTACAAGTGATGGCAGTGACAACCCATCTGGAGCGGCCGCTGCGAGGATGCCGACTGCAGCAGTTGAGGTGTGGGGATGTGCGCTCTGCAGAGCCTGGGGGAACTGAGAACAGGCAAGAGCCCCACCACTTACTGAGTTGGTGGGTCAGGGGCCCATGCTCCCAGGTGTAGCAGCAGCCTCCCAGCCGCAGCTTCAGACCATGGCATCCCTGCGCTCTTGGGGGCCCAGGAAGTCTCCTGCCCCCACAGGCTTGAAAGTGCCTGATCCCACTCCCTGGCCTCTCTCTGCTCTCAGTGCCCACTCCAGGGGTGAGGAAAGTTGTGGCCAAGCCTGGATACTGTCACAACCTGGCCAGATGTGCACATGCTCAGGGGGTTGCTGATACACCAGCCCCCTGCCAACTCGACCTGCTCCGAATTTTGAGTGCCAATGAGAGCGGAAGGGGTATTGGAGGTGTGCTAAGGGTCACTGGGCATGGGCCTGAAGGTGCCTCTTGGTGTGGACAGCCTAGGCGCCATGGACAACATTTTAAAGGAAGACAGGTTCCTAGGCAGGAAGGGGTGGGTATCCAGTGAAACCCCACCTTCAAGCCAGGGATGGCCTGAAGCGTGGGGGCCAGGCTACCAGTTCCAGGCAAAGTCAGCAGACTGGAGTGAGAACTTCAATGATGGCCATTAGGCCAATTGGATGGTCTTTTTCCGGGCCCATCCATGGCTGCCTATGTACCAATCAACATGCACTTCCTCCATTCTGAGGACCTAAACTTCCCAGACTCAGCTAGACTCACACACTGCCTGGGGAAAGGAGCTACCACTTTGGGTCTCCTGAGAGCTGTTCTGTCATTCAGTAAAGCTCCTCTCTGGCTCGCTCACCCTCCTGTTGTCTGCATACCTCATTCTTCTTGGACACTGGCCAAGTACTTGGGTCCCTCTGAATGGCAGAACTGAAAGAGCTGTAACACAATCAGGGTTGAAACATGCCCTACCCCTCTCACCACATTGTGGGTGATGAGAAGGAGAAAAGAGCTGTGGCCTTTTGAGAAGAAAAGACCTACGGGCCCTCTGAGTCAGGGGTGTGACACCCTCTTTGGGGCTCTGTGGTTCCTGGCGTCTCCAAGCTTCTAGACGCCACCATGTTTCCCTCATCTACATGCAGGTGCCCACAGTGGAGGCTGCTTGCAGTACATCTGATCCAGCAGTACCCCTGCACAGAGCCAGCACCTGTATTGGCACCTGGAGCTGCCCGTGCTGCCAGAGCAGCTGGCATATCTGGCTCTGCGCAGTGGCTAGACCCTGGGCTCATTTGCTCACGCATCCCTCACTACTCTGCACCTGGCTCACCCATGGCAGACATAGGATCCCGGCCAGTAGCACAAGCGGAGCACAGCATACAAGGCTGAGTGGGTGGAACAAGCCCAGCGGACCCAAGCAAAAGAAAACAAAACAAAACAAAACAAAACCACCACCCGCAGAGGTTTCTGGCTGGAAAAGCAACACCCTAAAAATCCTTTGACACAAGGATTACACTAAACTTCTATTAGAACAGTATTTCATTTCTCTTAGGACACCTGGAATGATTTTAAGAATTAGATCTGTGAATTAGTGGCCTAGGAATGCTATGTTGTTGTATAATTATTCTACTCACATCAAAATAATGTGTAGGCTTATAGCAGTCAGGATGTTCACGCAATTTATGTGTATTTTTTCCTAAAATAAAATGTATTTATTGTAATTTTTAGAAAATATCCCCAGCTCCACAAATGTTCATATATCAAATTGTCAATTAATATTATGTTACTGCATTTTTCAAAACCTTCCATGCAGAGTAGCTTCCTGATTTTTTGTTGGTACTCCAGAATGATTTAGCTATTAGAGTAAATCATAGATGATTTATTTTCTAAGCACTAGAGCTATCCTTTTTGAGGGAAAGGCACAGGAATATCATTCCCTTTTTTTTAGTGAGATATTTTCAAAATTAGGACGCATTTGTGTTATTTAACAAATGTTGAATTATATAAGAAGAAAACTCAATGCAACTTTGATGCCTTGATCCTATAGTTGCTTTTATATATCAATAAACAATATTTTTAATCTAAATAGTTAGAATATTAATTTAAAAATGCATGGATTAAATGTGTGTAAATATATATACACACACACATATTTAATTTATACATATGTATATTTAATACATATATATATACACACACACATTCCCTGAATCAGGGAGTATATATACACATATATATATATATGTGTATATATATACATATATATGTATATATATATATACACACTCATTTAATACACAAACAGGCACACACACATATTTATGTGTGTGTGTACACATGTGTGTGTATGTGTGTGTGTGTGTATATATATATATATATATATATATATATATATATATATATATGGCACTGTAAGAAAGTTGAAAAGAAATTATTCTGACTAACATAGACCATAAAGAACCTAAAAAAGTAACTTAGGCATTGTTATAATAAGTAACACAAAATCATATGACAGTGACACTGAATTTATTAAGCATATACTAGGTGGTATATATATATATATATATAATACTGGCACAGAAGTTGAGACATTCTACTAATGTGTGCAGTTTTACTTTTCTGAAATGGTTTATGACTAACAGAAAAAAAAGTTCTATAAAATAAAAAACACCTTCAATATTCTTATCCATTCTAGATCAGATTTTCCTCATCCATAAATAGAGAAAATAATGCAATGTAACTTGTAGGGTTATTGTGAAGAATATGTGACATTACACAGTTAAAGGCCTGAGCACAGAGCCTGGTATATGTAGATTTTCAAAATAAAGCCTTTTATTATTCCCAGCATGGTTACATAACATGCTACTTTTCTAAACACTTTTCTAAAAATAGAATCAAACTTCTGTAGGACATGAGTTATGTGACTGTCTAAAGCTCAGAATAATCTCTTTTTAAATGGAAATACTAATATCCATTCTTGCTCTTTTGGGAAACTCTAAACGGGATGTATTTTTTTTCTCCGTGACTATTGCAGATGTACATCCAAATGCCTTGAATTATCCAGTTGGTTGGTGTATTAGTTTAACTAGTATCTCTGAGGAAAGGAAAAAAATTGCTATGGATAACATAAAGAATAGATTCATGGCAAATTTGTTCAGTACAAGAGTATATAGGTCGGGCATGGTGGCTCACGCCTGTAATCTCAGCACTTTGGGGGGCCAAGGCGGGTGAATCACCTGAGGTCAGGAGTTCGAGACCAGCCTAGCCAACATGGTGAAACCCCATTTCTACTAAAAATAGTAAAATTAGCTGGGCGTGATGGTGCATGCCTGTAATCCCAGCTATTTGGGAGGCTGAGGCAGGAGAATCGCTTAAACCCCGGAGGCAGAGGTTGCAATGAGCCGAGATCATGACACTGCACTCCAGCCTGGACAACAGAGCAAGTCTCCATCTCAAAAAAAAAAAAAAAAAAAAAAAAAGAACATATGTATAGATATGTACATATCTATTATTATATTCACTTTGTGTTCATTCTTATATTGACTATTTAAATGATAAGAAACATTATATATTTTATATAATTATCTTATACAATTATAAAGATTTCCCCTATGGTTTAAATAGTAAAAGAGTAATTGTGTTTACATATTTTGTTTACTCCTACTTCCCCTTCTCAAAATTAAACTGTGTTAAAACAGAAAATTTTAATTAAATCTATTCAATATTGTGCTTTGAGTATCAGACAACTTATAGATGTCTGATTAGTTATATTCCGTTTTCACTAATATCCTATGTATCATATTATTACTTATCACTCTAGAGAAACCTCCATTGTAAATAAAGGAAAATTAAATATGTCACATTTTACTCAATAATGAAGAAGAGGTGTAACATATAGAAAAAAATTGGGGGCAGTCAATGTTTCTACAATAATGCTATTCTGCTTGTTTCATAGCTTTTTCTGTATTTGGCAATTATAATTACGAATATACTTTTGTTTCATGCGTGGCCAAAATACAAGAAATTACTCATCCTTCTCCCTTATGAATAATGCCAATCTTTATAAATAGTGAAATAAACTTTAGTGCTTCAAGCTATACTATAATATTTGACACTTTGGAAAAATGATACACAGTTTTTCTGGATTCTCTAAACTTTTTAAACCTGGCTGGTTGGATGCATTAGTCAGAATGATCAAATTTTGTTTAGATCACAACCAGAAAAAGTACTTCTCTAGGACCCAGAAAATATAGTTTTTATTCCTGAGAAGATACTAATAATACCCCAATCCATCTTTATATCCTTGCAAGGTTTTATGGATCTGCATAGCTTCTTCATAAGGTGGACAATATATAGACAACAAATTAAAAAACTAAAGATCAGAAAGATAAGTAATCTTTCCAAGGTCACACAGGAGTTAAGTAGAAGCCAAGAAATATTAAGCTGTTATAAAGAGTTAATTATTGGCAGAAATATTAAACTTTATTTAGTATACCAAACAGCATTAATTTACGGCTAATACACTGACTAGATTGTGGAGGACTGAACTGACAGCCAAAGTCAATGGATGATAACCTATATATGTAATTGATTAACTAAATTTCGTGCTCGTTTAAAGAAAAGGCAATTTGCTAAGAGTATGACACGTATGCTAATAGTGAGAAATCCTACTGTTGGAATCAAATTTCCTCTTTAAACAGATCAAAAAATAATTTTAATTAATGTGAGAGATTTAGATTAGGTAAAAAAACATTAAAATATTTTCAACATAAAAAAAAGATTCTAAAATGTTTCCACAAAAGCGGCTAGAAAAAGAAAGAGCTTCAGTTTTCCACTAAGTACAAGCACTTTAGAGAAACTTCATTTTATGTTTTAAAAAATCTGCTTTACATTGGCTTTGGATAGATAGATAGACAGATAGATAGATAGATATACATATATATCTCCAATGTGTATATATATATATATATATATACACACACATTGGCTTTGGATATAGAAATAAATTAGGTGGGAAAAAAGTTATTATTTCCTTTTATTATAAATTCAGGAGTGATATCACTTTCCAAGAAGAAGGGAAAGAGGTTACAATGGCTTGCCGTAAAGTCTGAGATTTGGACCTAATCAGTGAAATTATACCTATCAGAATACAAAGATATAATGAGAGCAAACTCTGGGCCTTTCTCAAAAACCCGGTTGATAATTTGGGAAGTAAGCAAAGAATAAGTGCTTAAAGGCACAAGTTTGAAACAAAGCATGAAAATGCTAAGGGAAGCCATGAGACAGACCTACGGCCAATTCAGAGAAACTATATTGTCAAGAAGCTGTTTTACATATCCAAGTACAATCATGATTGCATCCAACAGGGACTCTTTCTGGGGCCATTTTGTTTTTTTCTGATGTGGAAGTCAGAAGCTCCAGGAAAAGGCCAGCCACATCCTTGTCTAGGACCTGAAAAGTCATCAAAGCTGAAACAAAAAGTAGTGTCTCTCTGTTACAAAGGCTTAAATAGAAATTCAACAAAGTGACTTTATTTTGCAGGAACTGGCCACATTTCTTCCTCCCACTTTGCAGACAGCTGAATCATTAAATCATGTTTCAAATGTTTACCAGACAACCTACAAGAGGGATAAAATCACCATGACCCTCTGATTTCATATAAAGGATCTTAACAAAACTAATGTTTAAAGTTCTAGAACTAATAGTCTAAATCACCTCTTATTTTCAAAAGATAAATATGTATCTATGAAAATAGTATGTAATGAAAAAGAATACAAAACATTGCATGAAGGGATGTCATACATTTGAATGTTAATTACATATGATTTATTCATTTAAAAATGTGAATTCTAATATATTTTTGCAATTAAAATAAATCATTTTTTATAGATGGCACTACTGAAAATTTCAGGAACAGATTATGTATATGTATATATATAGTCATGCAAATTTGGCATGTGTACCTGTTGAAGTAAGGGAGACAACAAGAAATGAAAAACCCACAGAGTGAGAGTGTGTTAAAAAGAGATACGGAATTGGATTTGGGCTCATGTTAGCTAATCTGGGGGAGAATTCAAAGAAGTAGGAATTAGCTTTTGTTTGAGTGGTCTCAGAAAGGGAAGTGGGGACTTCAGTAATTAGATACTTTAATTTTTTTTAATTTATGGGGCAAGAGAAATGGAGTGTGCTACACCCTAACAGGTTAAAGCAGCAGCAGCAGTCACATTTACTGGCAGATGCTGGCCAGAGGAGTGGTTGGTCTTCTTTGTGGTGCTCATGGTGTTTTTGTTTTCATCTGTGTAGAGCTGTGATTATGGAGCATTCTTGTTCTTACATGCTCCATCCTGGGCATGGAATGCGCTTGTCTAATCTTAGCATTCTGTGAAATTGTAGATGTTTCAGCAGAGAAACAACACAGCCCAGCTACCCAGGCCAGCTCCCAGGGGAAAGCTGCTGGGGCTGCTTTTTTCTTTCTTAAAAATTACTCCAAGAATGGGAAACTACAGAGAAAGAAGACAGAGAAAAACAATGAGAACAAATTATGGCTATTGAGGGCTCTGAACAGAGATTTATCTCCTAGTAAAGACAAATGGAGTAAAAACAATGATCAAAGTTATAACAAGGAAAAATTATGCTCATGAAGAATCACCAAATCAGCATTAAAAGAGGGTTCCACTTACAAACAAAAATTATTTAAAAGTTGCAGCTTCAAGTTTTATTGCAATAGATACTAGAATTTTAAAAATAAAGACTTGTTTGAATATCTAGTCATATATTTAAAAAGGAAGATAATTGTGAAAGGCTTTTATTATCTTCTTTGCAAAAAAACAGAAAAAAAGAACTTAGGTCACTGAAGTTTAAGAACATTAAATATATCATTCAAAATGTTTCAAAACTCAAAAATATCTATTATTTGAAATACATAATTAAATCAGGGCACATTTATACTGGTATAGCCAAATTAATGGAATAAAATAGAAAGACTGGCTACAAAATTGAGAAAATATATGTATTTAGTGTAAATGACATTTTAGTAGATGGTAACAGAAATGATGTAATAATAATAATAATTAGTTAAATATTTAGGAAAAATTATAATACATATAATTACTACACTTCATTTAAAATAAAATAAAATCCAGGTTAATATGAGTTTTATATATATGGAAGTAAAATGAAAACAGAAGTAAATACTGGTATATATGTATCTGATGATGCTGCACAGACCTTTCTAGTTGTTAAAAAAGTGGTGGGAACTTGAAAAACATAAATAACTTGACTGAAAAATTTGGCTGTGTAAAACTTTTATACATACACCATATCAAGGAGCACAGTCAAAGAAATGTTTTAAAACAAAATATCATCTGATGAAAAACATTTAAAAATATAATAGTAGCAAAAAAAATACTAGCAATATCCAGAGTTAAAGATAAGTGATTTTAAAAAATAATACCTCAACCAAAAAAATGGAAAAAGGCACATCCAACTGGTCCTCTGAAGCAGTAATGCAAATGGCATCCAAATACCTGAGAAAAACAACCTCATTACACATAAAGGAACACAAATTAAGTCATCACCACAGGATGATGTGATTGCAGTGGCATAGCACTTACAAATAAAGATTAAGTGTATATGGCAATAAACTCTCCTTAGATGAGTATAGCAACAGGTATTGAATCACTAAATATAGTCACAGACTTTTATCCAAAATTCCCACTTCTGAAAACCTATTTTAAGAAAATAATTAGATGTGTGCACAGAAATATATGTAGGAAGTTGAAAGCAGAACTATTTATAATTGCCAAACATTGCAAATTAATAAAATTTCCAATAATAGGTGAATTTGAAAATAAATGCAATACATCAGCATTGTACAGTAATGCAAAATTGTGCTGTGTAAAAATATACTTAAATCAGATACATTGTTATTATATAGTTATTTTAAGAAATGACAAAGTGCAAGAGAATGTAAACTTAATGCATAGAAACAACCTATGTGCCAATATATTTGAAATGCAGATATATTTACTGACTTATGGAAAAATGTTTAATGAAATAAAATCAAATATTCTTAGTAGTTTTCAAGGTAGCAAACTTTTAACCAATTTAATTTATTCCAATGTTAATTACATATGATTTATTCATTTAAAAATGCGAATTCTAATAATTTTTGCAATTAAAATAAATAAAATAATCATTTTTAAAGTAACTGCTAGTATATTTGGAATCAGGTTGAGAAAGTGAAGTATGGACTGTCTCTTAGGAATGGAGATAATATAAACAATCTTTTTTCATATATTTTATGCATATAATACTGAATTTAATGTATAACACAATTTTAATAGCAAATATCATAAATTACAGTGTTAAATTATTCTCATGTTACCCATTTTTCCTGTGAGAAGTGCATGTATTTTGTATCTTTTTTTGTATATAATTGCAAATTAGTTGCCACCAAACAAAAAACTGAAAAGACATTTCTATTAACTCTATCATAACAAATCTTCATTACTTCCTAAATTATTCGAAAATCCTGGTCATATCAAAATCCAAGTTGTGACCCCTTCATAGCCATATACTGCAGTTGTCACAGACAATAACTCTACAGTACTCAATAACATACAAATCCAAATGTGATGCTTGTGGAGTGTGTTTTGGTTTGTTGGTTGTTTATTGGTTTGCTTTTGATTTATTATTAAAATGCTGTTTCTTTACTGGTTTCTTAGTCATCTGCCTCTCTCTGGAGTAAAGAAAACATCTTACTTTAGGTTGTGGAATCAGGCTATTCCCTTCCCCCTGAGTGTCCCCAACTGATCCTTCAAGGGAGAGGGCTGATCGTTTTTTGTTTAGCTTGGCTGTGCAGCTATTTCTCATCTTATTGCTCTACTACACATTTCTAAAGAGACCACTTGGTATCTACAATACAATTAAGTCTATCTTTCTCTGATGCAATCTTTCCCTTCCCTGCGTATTTTGTGTTTTAGCTTCTGCTGAGTGCTGTATTAACTTCCTGCTGTAAATCTTCTGAAGGCAGAATGGAGATAATCTAAAATCCTTTTACATGGCTATACAATGGGAAAGAAGGGAGTAAAAAATTGTCTGTCTGCAGTAGCTACATAGATTTTTCACCCACTCTTTTTCTCCTTAGAAGTTTCCTAACTTCTAATTTTCTTTTTTCTTGAAGGAACTTTGCAGCTTTTTCAAAATAATGTATAAAGTCAATATAAAATACTGTAATTTTAAAAGACAGGTGAAGAAATATCCTAGAATTTTCCACGTCAGATTCCATAAATTTCTGTTTATTGTATTTTCTGCCTTAACTACTTATTATCAATACAATGTAACTTGAGCAAATCCATGAAAGAGTACATAACAAGAATACCAGATTTTTAAAAAGAGATTGAATTTCTTGTTCTGGTTCTGTTAGCAATTGTTTCAAGATCATGGGCATATATCCTAGGTACTGTTTGCTTTTTCTTCTCTTATATAAAGTGAAGTTGATGATACCCACCTTAAGGAATTAATAATACATAATATTTGATTCATCCTTTTTTGTCCTTTTACTGTTGCTTTGTTTCTACTGTATTCCAAAATCCGCATTAGTTCATGGAGAAAGTCCACTTCCAGGAGACGGAGACACCAATTTCTTTTTTTTTTAATTTATTTTACTTTAAGTTCCGCAATACAAGTGCAGAATGTGTAGGTTTGTTACATAGGAATACGTGTGCCATGGTGGTTTGCTGCACCTATCAACCTGTCACCTAGGTTTTAAGCCCCACATGCATTAGCTACTTGTCCTAATGCTCTTCCTCCCCTCAAACCTCACCCCGATTGGCCCCAGTGTGTGTTGTTCCCCTCCCTGTGTCCATGTGTTCTCAATTGTTCAACTAACATGAGTGAGAACATGCAGTGTTTGGTTTTCTGATCCTGTGTTAGTCTGATGAGAATGATGGCTTCCAGCTTCATCCATGTTCCTGCAAAGGACATGGTCTCATTCCTTTTTATGGCTGCATAGTATTCAACGGTGTATTTTCTTTATCCAGTCTATCAGTTGTGGGCATTTGGGTTGGTTCCATGTCTTTGCTATTGTAAATAGTGCTGCAATAAAACATACATGTGCATGTGTCTTTATAGTAGAATGATTTATATTCCACTGGGTATATACCCAGTAATGGGACTGCTGGGTCAAATGGTATTTCTGGTTCTAGGTCCTTGAGGAATTGCCATAATGTCTTCCACAATGGTTGAACTAATTTATATTCCCACCAACGGTGTAAAAGTGTTCCTATTTCTGCACAGCCTCTCCAGCATCTATTGTTTTTGACTTTTTAATAATCGCCATTCTGACTTTCATGAGATGGTATCTCATTGTGGTTTTGATTTGCATTTCTCTAATGATAAGTGATGTTGAGCTTTTTTTCATAAGTTTGTTGGCTACATAAATGTCTTCTTTTGAGAAGTGTCTGTTCATATCCTTCACCCACTTTTTGATGGGTTGTTTTTTTCTTGTAGATTTGTTTAAGTTCCTTGTAGATTCTGGATATTAGACCTTTGTCAGATGGGTAGATTGCAAAAATTTTCTCCCATTCTGTAGGTTTCCTGTTAGAAACCTAACAGGATGATAGTTTCTTTTCCTGAGCAGAAGCTCTTTAGTGTAATTAGATCCCATTTGCAATTTTGACTTTTGTTGTAACTGCTTTTGGCATTTTCGTCATGAAGTCTCTGTTCATGCCTATATCCTAAATGGTATTGCCTAGGTTTTCTTCTAGGGTTTTTATGGTTTTGGATTTTACATTTAAGTCTTTAATAAATCTTGAGTTGATTTTTGTATAAGGTGTAAGGAAAGGATCCAGTTTCAGTTTTCTGCATATCGTTAGCCGGTTTTCCCAGCACCACTTATTAAATAGGAAGTCCTTTCCCATTTGCTTGTTTTTTTCAGGAGACAGAAATTTCATAGAGGAGAAATAAAGTGAGAAATTAAAATATAAGTGGTAAATGTGATTACAGAATTCTTAATAAAGCAACCTTTAGGCTGCCTTTAAAAGGAGTATTAGGAATGTTTCAGGTTACAGCAATAGGGTATTCCAGAGACAAGAAAGAAAAGATCCAAAGAAAAATGTAATAAAGGACACGGTGGTGCAAGGGACTATTGTAGAGTTCCTTGTGGTGGGAGTTTAGGGACAAGTCAAAAGAGAATATGAAGATAAAACCACAAAGGTGGATGTAAATCTGTGATGGAGCTGTTATACTAAGCTAGAAAGTGTGAATTTTAAATTTACTTGCTTTGTATATCAGGAACGAGATTATCAAAACTTTGACAGAATACAATTCTGAAGGCAATATGCAAAATTGAAATTTTTGGCATGGAATTCAACAGAAAGTTATAATATTTCAAGCAAAAAATAATGAGGTCTGGAAGAGAGGCATTGAAGCAACAATGGAAAGGCTAAAACAGAGTATATAATTACTTTTATTACAGATGATGAGGATTTTTTGTTCAAACCAGTGTGAAAAGAAAATAATAAAACACTAAAGAAGAATATCTTGCAATTTTCTGTTTTAACAGAAAAGGTAAGCTGAGCACAGTGGCTCATGCCTGTAATCCTAGCACTTTGGGAGGCCAAAACAGGTGAATCACCTGAGGCCAGGAGATTAAGACCAGCCTGGCCAACATGGTGAAACCCCGTCTCTACTAAAAGTACAAAAATTAGCCGGAAGTGGTGGCAGGAGCCTATAATCCCAGCTACTCAGGAGGCTGAGGCAAGAGAATTGTTTGGACCGGGAAGGTGGACATTGCAATGGGCCAAGATCGCGCTACTGCACTCCAGCCTGAACAAAAAGAGCAAAACTCCAACTCAAAAGAAGAAAAAAGAAAAGGTGACAATGCTAATGAAAATCAAGAACACTGGTAGATCAGCATCATACCATATAACCATGTAACAAACCTGAACCTGTATAATCAGCTGCTTTGTGATTTGGGTGAGCCATGTTGTGTTAAAGGAATTGAGTGATATTTCCATTTCGATATGTCTAAATTTAGGAGAGAAGCTGAGATAAGGATCGAAATGACAGGGTCATGGTGTAACTGAGGTTGTACATTAGAAAGAAGTGTTAAGAAAAAATGATTAATGTGAGATAAAAGAAAGCTGAAGATAGGATTAAGGACTATTAGCAATTAAGAATGGACAGAAAAGAAGGAACAAGAAAATAGTACATGGACAGTTAATATTCTGACAGAAAAAAAATATGAAGTATTTTTGTAAATGAGAAAAAAAGGTTTTAAAACTAAGAGAGGTCAATAGTATCTCAAAACTATTCACACAATATATGAATAAACGATTACATTAGGTGTCTTAGTCCATTTGTGTTGCTACAAAGGAAGACCTAAGACTGTGTAATTTATTTTAAAAAAATGTTTATTTGACCCATCGTTCTGCAGGACACACAAGAAGCATGGTGTCAACATCTGCTTTTGATGTGGGCCTCAGGAAGCTTCTACTCATGGGGTAAAGTAATGAGAAGCTGATGTGTGCCAATATCACATGGTCAGAGGGCAGAAGCAAGAGTGAGGAAAGGCAGGTGCCAGAATCTTTTAAACAACCAGCTGTCTGTGGTACTAATAGAGTGAGAACAAACTCCTTTCCCTACCCTCCCAGAAAGGGAATTCATCTATTCATGAATGATCCACCCCCATGATGCAAACACCTCCCATTAGGTCCCATCTCCAATATTAGGGATCAACTTTCAACATTAGGTTTGGAAGGGATCAACATCCAAACTATACTATATATACATATATTAAAATATATACACATATATTTATATATACATATATATTATATATAAAATGTAATAAACATGGCATATTACCTATGAATAATTATTTACCTGTTTTTTTCTTACACCAGGCTGATGAGATCCCTAAGAAATCCTAAGTTATCAAAGGTGATTTTATTATATATAAAAAACAAAATATATTTTGTTAAATTCAACAATGATTATCAGGTTCATGTACTAGGCAAAGTTCTAGTGACTGGGGGATATATCACTTTACAAAAACAATGTTCCTTATGAAATTCTAGTTTAACAAATCAGAAAATAAAAAGGTAAATAAGTATATAATGTGTCTGGTAAAATGTTAAGAAAAAAAAATTAAGCAGGTTAAGAAACAGAGAATGGTGTTGCAAGCATATGCTAGTTTAGTTTGCGTGGGCATGAAAGGTTCCACAGTATATCAGCATTTGGGCACAGACCAGTAGGAAGCGATGATGTGAACCATGTGGATGCCTGCAAAGGCTGTAAGCAGAGGAGTTATTTCATCTAAAGAGCTTTTTAAAAGGATCCTTCTGACTCCTCTGTGATTACCTGATTGTAGATGGGTAGCTAGGGAAGAAATTTAAAGACTATTTAGGAACACATTTTAGGAAAATAGCAGTGAGAGATAATGGAATCTTGGTGCACATTAGGGTTTCTCAATCTAGGTACTCTTGCCATTTTTGAAGGGATAATTTGTTGCTGTGGAAGACTGCCTGTACTTTGCAGGATGTTTAATGGCACCTCTAACCTCTACCCACTGAATGATAGTAGCACCCTCATGTTTTGACAAGCAAAAATATCACCAGATATTGCCCGATAATATGCAATAATATGGCTAGGGAGCAAAATGACCCTCAATTGAGAACCACTGGTTTCTGTAGATAATGGGGGAGTGAAAGAATGTGTAAATAGATATATTTCATAGATAAAGCTGAAAGAAATTTCCTGTGAATTGGATATACACTGTGAGAGAGATGATGCCAAGGTTTCTGACTTGAACAGGTGGATGATAAATTGCCATTCCTGAGATCTGGAAGACTAAAAGTGCAGTGGGAATCAATATATCCATTTTGGCCTTACTAAATTTGATAACAGTTAGTTGTAAAAGTACAGTTTAAGGGAGAGCTCAGGTTGTGTATATGAATTTGGTTGCTATATGTATATAGATAGTATTTAAAGCCATAAAATGGATGAGCTCATCCAGGGACTGGGCAGAGATAGAAGACAGGATATATTCAGAGACTGAGCTCTAGGCTCCTGCAATGTTGAGAGCTGGGGAAGATGAGGATCTGCAATGGAGAATGAGCTATCAGATGTGTGCATGTGTGTGCATGCTGATGTGTGTGCTTGATTACCTATTTCCTGTTTTATCTCACCTTCATGAGTACAAAAGAATAAAAAGTTAAAAAAAAAATTACAATGCAGTCTGAATGAGAATATTGTTGTCTTATAGAAATTTTTAATGACAAGGCCGGGCGCGGTGGCTCACGCCTGTAAGCCCAGCACTTTGGGAGGCCGAGGCGGGAGGATCATGAGGTCAGGAGATCGAGACTATCCTGGCTAACACGGTGAAACCCCGTCTCTACCAAAAATACAAAAAATTAGCCTGGCGAGGTGGCGGGCGCCTGTAGTCCCAGCTACTCGGGAGGTTGAGGCAGGAGAATGGCGTGAACCCCAGGGGGCGGAGCCTGCAGTGAGCCGAGATCATGGCACTGCACTCCAGCCTGGGCGATAGCGAGACTCCGTCTCAAAAAAAAAAAAAAAAAAAAAAGAAATTTTTAATGACAAAATACCAACTTAACTGTGTCTACAGAACATTTTTCTTTTTATATTAGCAACTCCTTCCTTTGGGGAATTGCCCCCTCTCTCCTCATCAAACCCTGTAGTTTGGTACTGGCAATGAACCATAATTCCCATCTCTTTAGCTATAATAAAGATGATCTAACCCAAAATTTTCTGGGCTCAGGAGTTGCTGGCAGCCATTGTGCAAAATTTTTGTGCATTAAAAAAAAATTCTCTATATATAAAGGAAGTAAATATAGACTGACAGCAGATATCTTGATGGCATCTGATGCTCTGGTCTAGGATCCCTGATGCCAAATATACTTTCAGCCTTCACAAATTTTGTTCTGAGACTAAATATTCATCACATCCTGCCTATTTCAAGTTGGAATTCTCTCACTTGAAACCCAAATCATTCTGCCTAAAATAATAATGCAAAATGAGTAAATAATGCCAAACACCCATCAAATATGTTTCAGTGTTATGCAGACAAAGCAAAGAAGAAAAATTTAAAAAAGCATGACACGATGTTACCTATGAATAATTATTTGCCTGTTTTTTTCTTACTCCAGGTTGATGATATGCCAAAGAAATCCTAAGTTTTCAAAGGTGAATTTTCTTAAATCCCCTAAAAATAGTTTCAAAATGTCGATAGTGAGAGGCCTTTGGAATTATTTTATTGGTGTCATAAATTCATGTGGAAACAATAAATTCATATCTTATGTGGATGTGTAAAATTCCCTTACCTAAAAAGAGAATTCTAACATTTGAAAAATTAGGATGCATTGCACTGTGACATAAATTATGGTCATTTGCTTTTATTTAAAAATGGGCCAGGCATGGTGGCTGACGCCTGTAATCTCAGCATTTTGGAGACTGAGGTGGCTGGGTCATTTGAGCCTAGGAGTTTGAGACCAGCCTGGACAACATGGCAAATCCCCATCTCTAGAAATAATACAAAAATTAGTCCTGCATTTTGGTGCACACCTATAGTGCCAGTTATCAAGAGGCTGAGGTGGGAGGATTGCTTAAGCCTGGGAGGTCAAGGCTGCAGAGAGCCTGGGAGGTCAAGGCTGCAGAAAGCCTGGGTGACAGAGTGAGACCCTGTTTCAAAAAACTAAACTAAAATAAAAAATAAAAAAATAAAAATGAAAAAGAATGCTAGGCCACCTTACTATTTTCAGCTTTATAGCACAAATTTCATAATAAAACAAATTTAAGAATAGAGCAGGTTTTCCAAAAATAAAAAATTCTAGGGTTTTTAGAGTTCACTGAAAGGAATCTCTATTTTGAAGGCAATTTATTATTTGTTTATGTTACTGTTATGCTTCTCATCCTGGCCTCTTTCCACTATTGGTGCTAGGACATAGTTGATCAAAAACATCTACAATTCTCTGATTACTACCTTTATATTGAGCTCTTTGCTGATATTTATTATATAATTTATTATAAACAATAATTCATAATTTTATAGTTCATCATCTGATGGTGTTCACCTTCATTAAAGACTACATAAGTCTAAATTCTAAAGAAAGTTGCATGCAGCATCTCATGCCTATAGTCCCAGCAATTTGGGAGGCTGAGGTGGGAGGATCACTTCAGCCCAGGAGTTTGAGACCAGCCTGGACAAGATAGTGAGACCTCCATCTCTAAAATAAAAAAAACAATAGCCAGGCATGCTGGCGTGTGCCGGTGGTCCCAACTACTCAGGAGGCTGAGGTGGGAAGATCTCTTAACCCTAAGAGTCCAAGGCTACAATGTGCTAGGATCACACCACTGCACCCTAGCCTGGGTGACAGAGCAAGGCCTTGTCTCTTAAAAAGAAAAATAAAATGCTGAAGAAGACATTTAAGAAGACTTAAAGAAGACTAACACTATAAGATAGTGAACCATTGTTAATTATTATGTTAGCATCTTCTTTATCACTCATTATTTTTCACTTTTCTGTTTGAATTGCAGCATAATGAATCAGAGGGGTTATTCTGCCTCTATCACTTACTTAAGCATCTAATGTCAAAATTTCTTGTCTGCAAAGATAAACAAAAATACCAACCTCATACTTAAGATTTGTAGAGGAGTAAATGAGTGCTTATTTTTAAAGTGCTAAACTCAAGCCAACTTTGAAAATATTAGGTCTTTATGAATATCTCACAACATGATAAACATTCAATAAATATTTGCTAATATATGGAATCCCAATTTCACTCCATACATATAGTTACGTCTTACATAGTTGGCAATTGTTAGCCAATGTGTGCTTTTTCAGAGGACTATATCTATTCTTTGTCTACTGCTGTTTGACATGAAGTATTAGACATAATGCATTTTTTGCAAGTCCCTTCACCCACCTGGCTCAGTTTCTTCATCTCTGAAGTGCACCTACAGATATGTTATGGTGAGATAGTCCTTATGAAGACATATGGACAAAATTTAAATACGAACTAAGTTAATGTGACCTTTTAAATTTCTAGATAATTGTAGATTTATATGTAACTGCCATAAATAATTAAAATATTATATGCCCTTACCCTTACTCAGTTACCCACAAAATCTATAGTAGAGTATAACAACAGGATTTTCACACTGTTATAATTAACCAATCTTATTTATATTTTCCCTAGATTAAGAGTACTGGTATGTGTGTGTGTATGTGTGCGTTGTGTTTGTGTGTGTATATAGTTCTACACAATTTTATCATATGTGTAAGTTTAATAAATTTGAAGTTTTAGAAACTTCTATAGACATTTGCATGACTCTTTTCTTATGCTACTCTTCTTTATTTTGTTCTTTTCCTCAGTAGTCACGTTACTCAATCCAGGAAACACTGACCTAAATGATTTGATATTTAATGTAAGGGTAATTCTGAATAACTTGAGGAGAAAGTTTATGATAAAGAGGAGATTACTCAACATGTACAGAAATACGAATGAGACAAGAGGATAGAAAGAAAATAATCCACGGGCTTAAACTTACCAAAGAAGAAATTATTAGAAATCAAATAGTAAATGTTATCATTACATTAAAAGTCATGAGGTCATGAAGACAGTATTTTAAAGGGGGAGTTAAGCAACACCATTAGAAATACGTTGCAAAATGGAATATTTTCAACACCAGGTAGTTGTATATTAATGCATAACAATGAAATAATTCGATTAACTTGAATATCTACTTAGTGAATATCTATCACATAAATCAATCTCCAGTAATGAAGATGTATAAAACGCATTATTCTCCAGGTACTTATAGTCTAAAAGGAAAATAAAATACATGCATGCATGTGCAAGAGTGGAAATGAGTAATCTAAACAATACATAGATAAGGAATCCAGAGGTAAAAGAGAGCAATTAGGTTAAATAATATTCCACAAAAGAGATGGAGGATTAATTATACTTTGGTATAATAAGTGGAAGATTGCTAGAGAAAAAGGAAAAGATAAAGATAATGAGCCCAAGGTATGGATGAGAAAAAAAAAGCTGTCATCCAGAAAGTTGGGTTGACTGCAAGCAGGATTTACATTAGGGAGTAGGAGAAGATAATGTTTCACTGATAAAGCCTGGGTTATATTATAGGATTCTTGAAAATAAGTAAGACTCAAGATCAACACATCAAACTAGGTGACGTGGCAGGCACACACTTATTTTAATTCTTCCATTCTATGAGATACTGTGAGTTGGCACTCGCCAGGCATAAATGATGATGTTTTTAATCTATAAAATTCTTTGTCCAATTTTAACTGAAGAATTTTTCATTTTTGCAGTTATATTTTCACAGTATCCCAAACAATCCCTGAACACATAGAATGTGGGTGTAACTGATAAAACTGCATGTACAGATATGGCTAAATTGCTGTGTAATCAGGGTCTGATTGGGTCTGATTGTGAAAGCTCTCCTTAATGAATACAAATGTTTGCTAGACTGTTAAAATTCCTTCTTATATTATTATGTATTCACTATATAATAATTGTGGAGCACTGACGAACAACTATTCTTTTTATAATTTTCATTTTATTTTTGATTGACACACAGTAAGTGTACATATTTATGGGGTACACTGTGCTGTTTTGATACATGTATATATTCTGTAATGATCAAGTCAGGATGAACGGGATATTCATCACATTGAACATTTCTTATTTCTTTAAAATGTAGACATTCAAAGTTCTCTGTTTTAGTTATTTTTAAATATACATTTTTGTTAACTCTAGTTTCCCTAATATGAAATTAAACACTAGAACTTATTCTTTCTATGAAACTGTAACATCATATCATTAATGAATCTCTCCCCTATCTCCTCTCCTCTATACTTCATAGCCTCTGGTAACTATTCTACCATCAACATCTACCATTTCAACTTTTTAAGATTCCACATATAAGTAAGATATTGTAGTATTTGTCTTTCTGTGCTTGGCTTAAAAATAAAAAAAGCTGAAGGCATCACAATACCTGACTTCCAACTATACTACAAAAATATAGTAACCAAAAAAGCATGGTACTGGCATGAAAACAGACACATAGACTGATGTATCAGAATAAAAAGCCCAGAAATACATCCACACACTTATAGCCTACAGGTTGTTGACAATGGAGCCAGGAATACACACTGAGAAAAGGACAGTCTCTTCAATAAATGGTGTTGGGAAAACTGGATATCCACATGTAGAAGAATAAAATGAGACCCTTATCTCTCACCATATGAAAAAAATCAGCTCAAGATGGATTGAAAACTTAAATATAATACCTGAAACTATGAAACTACTAGAAGAAAACATAAGTTTCATGACAGTATTCTAGGCAAAGATGTTTTGGATGAGAGCATAAAAGCAGAAACAAGAGAAGCAAACTAGATAAATGAGATTACAGCAAACTAAAAATCTTTTGCACAGCAAAGGAAACAATCAACAGAATGAGGAGACAGCCTAAAAGTGGGAGAAAATATTTGCATATTTGTGAACTATACATCTGTTAAGGGTTTAATATCCAAAATATATGAGGAACTCGATCAACTCAATAGAGAAAAAACAACCTGTTTAAAAAGGGGGACAAAATTCCTAAATAGATATTTCTCAAAGAAGACACACAAATGCTTAACAGATATATAAAAAAAATGCTCAGCATCACTAATAATTAGGAAAATTGAATCAAAACCTTCTCACTCTTGTTAGAATGACTATTATTTAAAAAAAAAGATAATCTGAGGCAAGAATGTGGAGAAATGGGAGCCCTTCCAACGACTGCTTAGAATGTGAATTAGCACAGCCATAATGGAAAATATTATGGAGGTCCCTGAAACATTAAAATTAGACCTACCAAATGATGCAGCAATCTTACTATTGGGTATATATTCAAAGGATATGAAATCAGTATGTCAAAAAGATACTAATTTCATACCTTTGAATATATACCCAATAGTAGGTGGGTGTAACTGATAAAATTGCTTATGCAGATACTGCTAAATTGCTGTGTAATTGAAGAGCATATTGGAGAGACATCTGTACTCCTATGTGTATTGTATGATTATTCACAATAGCCAAGACATAGAATCCACCTAAGTGCCTAACAGTGGATGAATGTATAAATTGTGGTATATAAAATGGAATACTACACAGCCATAAAAAATACAAAATTTCTGTCATTTACAACATCATGGATGAACCTGGAGAACATCTATTCTCTTTTGAATCTCATTTGCTTTATTTTATAAAATGTTAAAAATAAATAACACTAATTGATTTTTTATATTATCTTTAAAAATGCTAGTATGCTAGTAAACTAGTAAGCCAGGTCATCCTTAAGCAAACAATTACTCATAACCATGCAGTATCAAGTATCCTCTTAGAAAATGTCCAACAAACAAAAAGTGGGAGTATTAACACTGTTAAATTTCTTTTTAATTGAAACAGAAATATGTTTTTTAGCTAGAGTCATCTTTCTAGTTCATAAACTATAGGTTTGTAACACAACATATAAGATAAATAAAGATATATACATCTCTATGGTCATTAGAGTGGTAATCTGGGGGTTTAAATTGATATTGCTCAGCAAAAGAGGCAGCTAAGAAAGCTAGGCTCTTTTTAACAAGTACAGAGAAAGGTAATTAACATAAACCTTTACTATCTCTTACTTCAAACTTACCAGGTTAACATACTGTCTTTTTCTGTAAAGCTTATCCATCCTATTACTCTATTACCAGAAGAATTACCATCTCTTCTGGACTTTTGAGAAGTTTCCTCTCAAATGTGAAACCTGTCCTAGCTAGTATGTCTCTCTCAGGGTGCATTCATCTTTGTCTTCAAGTTTACATATATTCTGGGTCTTGATTCTATCACCTACGGTGTGTTAGATTTGTAAATTACGTTATAATACTCACCCTCCAAACAACTGCTTCAAACTTTAACTTTTTTCTATAATTAATAAAATAATATGTAGGATATAAATTGTTCACATAGTAAATAGGCTAGCGTATACTTACAGCACTTAGCCTAGTCACTGACAAGTAGGAAGAGCTCATGGCATGTTATTTTCCTCCTTTCTCTTACCTTTTTTTCATGTCCATACTTCACAAATAAATGTCTGGAGCTATTCCATTTTTTCATCATCAGATTTAAATTTGCTTCACCATTGCATGCTCTACAAAATTGTCTTTATAAAATCACCACTGATCTGCAATTAGTCTCAATCCATCTGTTACAATTCTTCCCTTTCTGAGCTTTCAAGTGCATTTCACACTTTTAATTATTGCTTCTTTCCTGAAACCCTCTTCTTTGGTTTCCATGACCCTTATTTTCCTCTCCTTACTCCAGGTTTTCCTCTTCTTATCTCTAGAGAATTTAGTGGCTGGTTAAGCATATTTTTGCAAAGCTGTATGAGGATTCTAAAGCACTGACAGTAACGAGCTATGCGGTTTTATTGGATTACTTCACTTCTGTAACTTAACTTTATGAATCTATAGAATGGGTTGGTTTAACATTAATATCTAAGAATCTATCAAAAGTAGAGATTGTGGAATACAAGATTATTTTTCATTTTAATTTAAAAAGCATAATTCAAGTGACATATAATTTATATAACAAAATAGATCACGCCATAGAAAGTTGAACCAAGAATGTGAGGAGTATATAAAGTGTTAAACTAGTGATATAGTAGAGTAAGTGATATAAATTTGTTACCGGAGTTGTGTGTATTTTCCCACAAGACTCTTCCATGATTCCAAAATATTCCATGGATCTTTTGAACATCACTAGGATTGCAACAACTTTTCACAAAATTACAGGTCAACTAAAGAGCCCCCCTGTTAACTTTTTCTCCAGTCTCAAATATCTTTTTTTTAATTATACTTTAAGTTTTAGGGTACATGTGCACAATGTGCAGGTTAGCTGCATATGTATACATGTGCCATGTAAATTTCTCATCAATTTTAGTATCATTAGTATTAGTCTCCTAGAGTCAAAAATGAAATATAAATTTATTCATTCTAGACATACTAACAAACTCCATTTGCTTTTAAATATTTTTATTCCAAATACTACCTTACAAATTTTAATACAGATACAATTTATTGATTGATTCAATCCTACTTAATACTAGTGTGAGCTCTTCTAAATTTTAGAATACATATGTGAAATATCTGGAGAATTTATTAAGAGTACAGATATATTCATGCTCTTCAGATATGAAGCTCCCAAACCTATTTGTATGTTTGTTCTGGTTTTTATCAAACATCTGAGGGCCACCTTTTGCACTATATTAAGTTGTCTGTGACACAAGCATGAATCAAAGATACTGCCTTGAACATGAAGGATGCAGAATTAGAGACACACAAAAACAACTAACACAAATAAAATCAGAGATAAAGGCAAGCACAATGGGAGTACAGGGTTAAAGTGTAGGCTGGAGACTATGGCATCAAGTGAGAGGAACTTGGAGTAAGACTTGGGGAAATTTCAGGAAGAATTATGAAACAGATTTTAGATTTTAGATCAATCTAAAAAGCAGCTCATAGTAAGGGAAACATGATGGATGTAAATAGATAGTTCACTGTGGTTGGAGTAACTGTAACACCTTATAGGTCCTTATTGTTTGTTCCCTTCTTTCAGCAATATCCAATCCTCAATGAAAAGGACATTGATAATGGTCCATATTGTGATAGGTTTTATTTGTATATTCTTATTTAACCATTTCCAAAACTTTATTAAATATTTTTGCTATTCCCATTTTGTCAGAGTGGTTGAAAAACCAGGATTCAAACTGTGATTTCTGGTCATGAAAGATCATGCTAATAGCCTTATTTTTATTTTGCAATCATATAAATAATAAATATACACGTTTATTTATTTAGTTAGCTAATCCCCCTCCACTTTAGTGTTAACCACTTATTACAAGCCCTCATATTTTTTATCTTGATTTTTATAAATCTCTACTTCTACTGACATAATTTTAGATCTGGATAATGCTGGAACAACCCATTTTAAAAGGTAAGTTAGAGGTGAATTTATTTCACAAAATTGCATAGTTAGATACTGTCAAGAACCATAGCCAGAAGCAGAAGCTTTTACATCTCTTGGCATGTTATTTTCTATTTTACTATCCAATTTATTTTATCTCTTTCTAATGTAGCAGCCAAGAATGTTCCTTAAATATTGCTTTTATCATGTTAGCCTGTGACTAAATCCTATATTAAAGCCCCATTTTTTGTTATAAGAGGGGAAAAAAACTCTTTAATGCATACTGTGAGCCATCTCTGTCTTCATATCTGGTTCTGTGCAGTATATTCTTAAGAACCACCATTTCAACAACTCATTATTTCATGGCAGTAATTGAATGCATCAAATGGAAAGGAACTATACTTTGCACAGAAGCACAAATGTGTTTTGTCTGCCCCCAGCCTTTGCTCTTTCTAAGTCTAATGACCAGGAAAATATCCACCTAATCAACAATCTGTCTTCCACTTGTGTTCTTAGTCCTACACTCCACCATTTGGTCTATTATAGTCTCTCTTTCCTGTTGCCAGTCCCTTCCTTCCTTCCTTCCTTCCTCTCTCTCTCTCTATCTCCTCTTCTTGCTTTTGGCAGTAATTTAAACAACTTCAAATCTCACCTACTTGTGGCAAGAATACTGGAGAAAGTTACTTTCTTTTTTACTAAGATCATTAAGAACTGTAGTGTTTTTAAAAAATTAATCGAAATGTTTATCTTCCATCCTCTTACCTTATTAGAATAACAATTAATGATTATACTTTTAAAGACTATATGCATATACTCCTTTCTTTTTTTTTTTTTTTTGAGACGGAGATTTGCTCTTGTTGCCCAGGCTGGAGCGCAATGGAGTCATCTCAGCTCACTGCAACCTCCACCTCCCAGGTTCAAGCAATTCTCCTGTCTCAGCCTCCCAAGTAGCTGGGATTACAGGTGCATGCCACCATGAGCAGGTAATTTTTGTATTTTTAGTAGAGATGAGGTTTCATCATATTGGTCAGGCTGGTCTCAAACTCCTGACCTCAGGTGATCTGCCCACCTTGGCCTCCCAAAGTGCTGGAATTACAGGCGTTAGCCACCTCACCCAGCCTATGTTCCTTACAAACAAAATTGCATGTAAGATATTTATCATGTGTGCTTTAGTAAACCAATAAATATAAGTTGAACTGATTAGATTGTTCTACAGGTTATATTTTGCTGTTCAAATAATCTGTAGTTTTTGTTGTTGTTGTTTTTGTTTTTTTGGTTGCGTTTTGGTTCAAAGAGACTTAGAAACCATTTGGTTCAATTCCTCTACTATTTCACCATGTATTTATTTTAGAACTTTCTTTATACAGGTGAAAAAACCGAAACCCAGTGAGGAAATGTAACTTGCTGGTCAAGGTCAATGACTAAATCAGTCACAGAGCCAGTAGAAAAAGCTAAGGTACACTGAACTACTGTGTACTAGAGTCTACAAAATGACTGATATGCAGGTATTCTTCAGTCTTCACAGCAAATCTGTAAAGTAACTAACTACAGTTATCCTCATTTGACAATTAGAGACCAACAATGAGGAGCTGGGGAAATGGAATCAAGCTTATCTAGAAGGTATGCCATAGGAATTGGTAGAATTCACAGGTGATACACCTTTAAAATACTGATTAGGAAACAAAATAAAAAGAAAACTTACATGTATGTGCTTTACTGTAAACTAATTCATATCTATTATATAAGTAAATTTCCACTACGGAACAGTCAATGAACAGTATATCATTATCTTCCTACTCCTTTTTCTGATGCTACTACTGCTGCTACCATTACGACTACTATTAATGCTGCCACCACTATTACCACCTATATTACTAGTAGAACCATACTGTAATAGTTTTTAGAATATTTTCCAGGCAGTTGTCTAAGTTATTTTTGTTTAAAATGTACAACCATTATATGAGATAGATATTGTTCTTATCTTCCTTTTGAAGGAAGAGACAAAAAAAAAAAAAACCACACACACATAGAGGTTAAATAATGTTCTTAAGGAAATGAATAAAGGATACTGGATAGGAGTTACAGCCACCATGTCAAATGGAGGCAGAATGAGTATAGATCCTGCAACAGAAATGATCACATTCTAGAACCAAAATTGTCCTCAGGCATGTAGGCAGATAAATATAGAATTACATCCTTGATTAAATTGTGTTTATGTTCCTCATTATTTTATACATTTGGTCAAACTGTATTTGAACTTTTTGAGAATGATTCTCTTGTACAAACTAGAGACAGTACTGACTTTATAGGATTACAGTTAAAATTAAGTTGAATATTAAGCATTTAATTGGCACTTTGTCCATGGTTGATATTTAAAAGACACTTGCTTTTATTTCTTCGTGTTAAACATCATTGTCTAAATTTATGAGAATATAAAAATTAGTAGCATGATTTAGTAGGGAATGTGTATTTGCATTCGTGCATATTAAAAAACCTGAGTTTGGCCGGGTGAGATGGCTCACGCTTGTAATCCCAGCACTTTGGAAGGCTGAGGTGGGCAGATCACGAGGTCAGGAGATGGAGACCATCCTGGCTAACACGGTGAAACCCCGTCTCTACTAAAAATACAAAAAAATTAGCCAGGTGTGGTGGCGTGCGCCTGTAGTCCCAGCTACTCGGGAGGTGGAGGCAGGAGAATGGCGTGAACCCGGGAGGCGGAGCTTACAGTGAGCCCACATCGTGCCACTGCACTCCAGTCTGGGCAACAGAGCGAGACTCCGTCTCAAAACACAACAACAACAAAACACACACACAAAAAAACAAAAAACAGAGTTTATATGTGTAAGAAATTGACCCTTCTAGAAAAACTTTCGTGTACATATATATATATACTAAATATATATATATATTTTCCTCATGTCACATTTTAAATAAATATACTAAGATCTGAGTCAAGAAATAGAATGACTAGCAAAAGTAAAAGTAACAAAATTATTACCGTAAAAAATCGTCGTAAAAAAAAATACGCTAAGGACTACAGGGCATGCCACCCAAACTACTACCTCTAAAATGAGCTATGGAAGTTCAGAGTACAGTTCAAAGACCACATTACAAACACAAATGAACAGTTTTCCTATCACAAAACCAACCTCTTTGGAACTGTAAAATTATTCATGAGAAAATTTGAAATCCTTTTAGATATACTTCCAAAAACGTCATGTCATTTCAAGAAAGTTAAAAAAAAATCAGTAAACTACTACTTCCTACCCTTCTTTGTTTATAAAATATTTTTTACCTGAAGTGCCCTGCATAGAATAACCAGATTCATAGCAACTTATAAGTCAATTCACTGTAATGGCCTGGAAGCCAGGATGATTAATATGTAGCTCTTAATATACATGCAAAATATTCTTTCTCAGTTCTGCATATAATATATGCCACAACACCTTGCCAAGCACAAAGATTGAATTCTAATAAAGAATAGAATGTATCAGAGTAATACAAGGCAGCATAGCTTTTCATAATAAGGACCTCCAAGGAACATGAACTTTATGAAATATTGTTTCTTTTTTTTACATTCAAATATATGTCGCAAAAGCTTGTGTAACAATGTGATATCTTCTTATTAAATATAATTTTCTAGAACCGAAGTATAATTTTTCCAGCGATTTTATGTATAGTTGCCTTATTTTGTTACATTATATACAATTTCAATAAAATATTTTTAAAGCCCCTAAATTAGGAAGAGAGAGAAGTAAAGACAAACTTACTTACTACTACCTAGTATGGAGAATAAGTTTTAATTCATGTTAATGTACTTCCAAATTTCTTGATGAACTAAAGTGAAAATGAATAATTACAAAGGGTTTATAAATTAATTGTTCTTGTGGTTCAAATCAATAATATATTAATATATCAATTATGTATAAATTTTTAATCAAATGAAAAACATACTCTTTCATTATTGCTACTCAGTATTATTATTTTTCCATAGCATACACAAAAGGCCAATTTGCCATAACCAAGTTTAGGGGGTACACCAAATAATTAATTGAATACCTTTGAAAAAAATAAAACGTTCAGGGTTGGGGACGCTTTCACTTCTTCCCTAGGTTCTTCTGAAAAGTTATCATGATTCTTAACTCTTTTTTTGCTTCTCAAATTACAGCCCCATTAGCAAATTGAACTGTGTCCTCGATACGAAACTCACATAGATTCTGTTTAAGACGAATTAATTTTCCTTTAATAGAAATCATATTAGTTGTTGTCTCATCCAGTCGTTGGGGAATACTGACAGAGAGCAGGAGAGAATGTTTTGGGGCAATGGAACTATTCTGTGTCTAGACTGGAGTGGAGGGTAAACAAGTATATACATTTGTCAAAACTCATCAGACTGTACACTTTAAATGAATACATTTTATTGTATGTAAGTTATACATTAAAAACTCCGAAAGAATTTGAGTGCCTATTATGTACCAAAATAAAGTATAATTCATAAATTCTAAATTTAGTTATAATTTTGAAAACATGGCTTTGTAAAACAAATGCCTTTGTGTTGTTTAGCACATTTCAAAACGTGGATATCTTTTTCAGAGTAACACAACTTTAGTGAAAAGCTGAGACTCTCAGGCTGCCTTAGTTTAATTCTTCATTGCTCACATGGCCAGAACATTCTACTAAGTTCTGGGGGAGGGTGTAAAAGCAATAAAATCTAGGATACCTGTCTTCAAAGAGTTGACAATTGAGTGGGAGATTTAAAATATTTTGCCACCTTTAAAAAGCAACAGATAAATGAGAGCAAATTAAAACTGCACAATCACAGTGCAAGTTTTGAGGTGTAGTAAATGAGAAAAGCGATCAGAGTGAGTCCAGGTTAATCAGGAGAAGTGCAGAAATTATTTGTGTTTTCAGCCAGCCAATAAAGGAGAGGGAAGACAGGTTGCAGGGAAAAAGAAGGTCGGTCGGTTTTAAACACATATGCACAGTGAAAGCAGTTTCTAATGAAGAAAGATTGTCTTTGCAGCATCCAGTTGGCATTATTGAGGGCCTCCACCTCATACCATCTCTATTCCTCCATTAGAATGCCATCCACAAAGTTGCAGAATGAAAGGAGACTTGTGGCCTCCTGGTGCTTCTCCATCCTCTTGCTACTCAGAAGCAAACCATTTCTATCTTTTCTTTCGTTACAGCTCAGTCAGCTAACGTTTTAAATAATTTGCTTTAAAAAAAAAGCTATGAGAAATAAAACAACAAATTCCAAAGTGTATTTTTTTTCTGAGTATGTGACAATTTCAATCTAACGGAATAATTTATTGATATAATATATTGAATACTACATAGGGTCTTATTTATTTTCTCCATCGATCTGGAAAATCCACAACCTAATTTTTTTTTGAGTTTGGCTAGCAATTCTGATAAATTCATTAAGACTCATAGTCTTTCCAAATATTAAGAGTCTAGTCTTCTCCCTGATTATAATTTCCACAGATATGTCCTAGGTACCCACTGCAGCTCTTTTCCCAACATTGTCTTTTTTCTTCACCCTGTATTTTTAGCTACTTCTCTTTGAGTGCAAGGAATAGAGAGACACTCAAATTTTCCCAAGCACAGAAGAGAGGTGTTTATCATACTGATGTGTAAGAATACAAAATGCATGGCACATATATATATATATATATATATATATATATATATGTGTGTGTGTGTGTGTGTGTGTGTGTGTGTGTTCATTTTATACACACACATACACAGAGGTTATATTGCATATTATAGCAGTAATTTGTAACCAGAAAAATGTCTGCTTTTCTGTGAAACAATGTGCTACAGGGAACTCAAATAAGGATGTACTGGTTGTGTTAGATGTCAAAGAATCAGCAGTGAGCAAGACAGACATGATCTTTGAATTTATGAAATGTGAAGTCTAAAGGGCAGATAGGCATTGAGCAAAGGACTATTCAGACAAGTGCAGATGCTATAAAAGTATACAATCAGAACTCTTAAACACCATAATATAGGCTTTCTATGGAAAATTAATGTTGAACTATGAGCTGAAAATTATTGAAGTCAGCTATCTTAAAAGTAGGTGGAGAGAATTTTATGGGTTCCACAAGTTTTTGCATACTTGTGGAGCCCTTAAAATTCTCTCCACCTACTTTTTCATGGCTCCTCTGAAACCAGTACTTGTTTGTTTTCTTCGTGTACTGGTTTCAGAGGAGCCATGAAAATTCTCCAATCATCCAAAACCCAAGCTGACACCAGAAAATCCACCTCCGTTGTTACAAAACTTTAAAAAATTATTGTTGAATTTAACATTTAAATTCAAGTTTAAATTCACTGCTTCATTGATTCAATAAATAGTTATTAAGCATCTACCATGTAACCACCCACCCTTATTCCAAGTAAAAGGCAAGGAACAGTGAACAACTAGGGTGATCAAACATTCTGGTTTGCCATGGGCCATCTCAGTGATAGCACTGAAAGTGCCACATCCTGAGAACCTCCCTACTCCCCTTCCCCCGTCTCACACCAACCACAACATTTGGCCACCCTAAAAAAGACACAACACATCCTTAACTGTATAAGGTTTAAATTCCGGGTGGAGGAACAAAACATAAAAATACACTTCTATATGTTTAAGGCATTAATAAATGCAAAGAAGAAAAATTAAGCAAGGCAGTGGAAAAGAGAATAAGGAGCTAGAATTTTTGACATGTTATTCAGAAACGGCTTCTCTAAGGAAGTGATATTTAAGCAGAATCTCAAATAAAATGAAGAAGCCAACCATGAAAATATCTGGGGAAGTTTCATAAAGAGAATAAAAGGGAAAACTTTCTGAAGAAGCAGAAGGCTTAGTAGGCTCAAGAAAGTTCAATGAGATTAGAGAGGTAACTGGGGACCAGCTCAGGCCAAACCTTGGTTGGGTATTGATTTAATTCTCAGTGTGATAGGACACCACTGAAGAATCTAAACAACTGATTTGTGAACTAATAACACACTATTTTTAAAAGCTTACTTGTCTCAAAAAAAGTGCTAGAGAGTTAGTTGTTTTCTTATTTTGGCTCACATTTTTGTTATATATTTTTTGTGATATTTTAACTGGAAAATCAGGACTTCAAGATTTCTAGTTAGAATTTTCAATGCTTTTTTGGCATAAAACAACTTCTCTTATTTTTTGTTACTGTTTTGATAAATATACTATATATATTTAAAATAATATGTATTCTACAGTCAAGTGCACATAAAAAACCATATATGTGTGATCATGTGCACTGAGAAAGATACAGAAATAAATATTAAGAAATAAATAAGATTACCTCAAGGAGAGGAAGTAAAAGGTTAAGATAATAACAAATAGTATCTGATTTTTGTATAATTAAAAATATAGGCCATGCACAGTGGCTCACGCCTGTAATCCCAACATTTTGGGAGGCGAAGGCAGGCAGATAGCTTGAGTCCAAGAGTTCAAGGTGAGCCTGGGCAACATGGTGAAACCCCATCTCAAAAAGAAATACAAAAAGTTAGCCTGGTATGCTGTGTGTGCTTGTAGTCCCAGATACGTGGGAGGCTGAGGTGAGAGGATGACTTGAGCCCAGGAGGCGGAGGTGGCAGTGAGCCAAGTTCACGCCACTGCATTCCAGCCAGGGTGATAGAGCCAGATCATGTCTCAAAATAAAATAAAGTAAAATAAATATAATTTTATATCCTACATTTTTAAATTACAGAAAATTTATATTTCTGTTTTGATATAGAACCTTTTAAATTAGTTATCATCATCTTTATCCCTATTCTTTCTCACATCATAACACATATTGGCAATAGTATCAACAAAAAGAAAAACCAAAAAGGAACCAAACAAAAAAACTATAGCTATCAGGGACAAAAATCACCTAATAAAATTAATGTTTTTTGAAATTGCCGATACAAATACTTAATTCTTATAAAACTAGAAATTTAATGTGATATTCTACATGGTTACTTAATTTTATATGCATTTGTCAAATTTTATGTATGATTTTAAAAATATGCATTATTTGTGTGGGCAACATTAAATATATTAACTTTATTAAGTGACTTTTGTCTTGAACCTTATCATTATTTGAAGACTGTTTTGAAATAATAAAAAAAAATCCTTTAAACAATGATTGTTTTCTCTTAGTAAGGTACAATGTAAATAAATGTCAATTTTAATATAATTTTTATAATTGCTATTTTAATTTGTCTTTATCAGTAGATTTTAGACAACACTTCCATTACGTAACTGTAAATGTGTCCCCATAATATTTGCTAAATAATGAATGAAGATAAACCGTTTACTTATCTGCATTATTTTCTATAAAATGTCATTGAATTATTTCTTGAACACTAAATGGATTGTTTTTGTATCTCTGACATTCTTACCAAAAGTTCTGTTTCTTTTTTCTGTTTTTGACACAGGGTCTCACTCTATCACCCAGATTGGAGTGCAGTGGTGCAATCACAGCTCCCTTCAGCCTCCAACTCCTGGACTCAAGCGATCCTACCACCTCAGCCTCCTGAGTATTTGGGGCTACAGGCATGATTCACTGTGCCTGGCTCTCAACCAAAAGTTCAAGATTATTAAGCATTGTTTTACAAGGTTTGAAATATCCTACTCTTTTGAGGCATTATAGTTCTATGTTGCTGTTATTAATAGCAATTAACATAAACAAATATATGAATAACTATGAATATCTTAAAAATGTTTATTACACAATGTCACTAACCTCAGAGATGCAAAAAATAATTTAATAAATTATGCTTTTTGGAGGAATTTTCCATATACTTTATCTCCATTTAGAAAAAATATGTTTTTAATTTGCAATGCAAAACATAGCTTTGATTGGACTGTACCTTATTTTCAACATTTTCATTACACTCTTTGATGCTAATCCATGGCAGTTTCTAAGGGATTTGAAAGATGGTGAAATAGGTTTAATAAATAAAAGATTAAGAAAGCACTTTTCTGTATCATTGTTGTTTTAAAACCTGAAACTAAAGGGTGAGGTAAAACCTGGAACTGAAGGCTGAGGTATAATCAGCTAAAGGCTGATTATAGTCTTCAAATATACTGAAGAACAGTTTCCACACCGAAGTGTACAGCTTCATTTCCTAGCAAAAGCAGACTATCAAAACCCAGTGAATCTGGATAACAGAAGGATGAATTCAAGTATCCATTTTTTTAAGTTGTGGAATATTTGAGTCTGTTGTGTGCTCAACCTTGAAAATTTTTTAAGAAGGAAAAATAAATCCACGTGTTTTTTTGTTTGTTTTCAATAAATTAAGTGCAAATAAAAAAGTAACAAGTAAATTACAAGGTCCTTTTTTCATTTCAGTGTTCAATCTTCTCTACTCAAATTTTTTAAATCATGGCTATAAAGATATTGCTTAACAGAAGATTTCAAGAAGTTTTTTCCTTATTTTTCTAAAATGTCACATGTGCCAAATGAAATGTGTGTATATGACAGCATAATATTTTAACCAGCATTTATTTATGATCATGCATTCTTTAAGTATATGGAACAGCCAGAAGCTAATGTGGATAACAATATTTTTCACTAAACTTACATAAACACAAACACATACACACACTTCAAGTAGAATGTGATCTCCATTATGTATAAATATGGTGTATGTTTACTTAAGCAGAAATAACCTCCAGGAGTCTATAACAATAAGTTCATATCTATTTTTACACTTTAAGGTAGCCAGGTATTATATAGAAGTTTTATACTAATAAATTTAAATTATAAATAATGCATCACCCCACAATAATTTTCATATTCTAAACATTTCTATAAAATGTATTATTTTACTCACTGAATGTTTCAATGTAACTTCTTCAAAAATAAATTTTTCGTTGAATCATTATCATTGCTAAGGTAAGTGGGGGGGTTTAACAATTCTTTTCTCAATTGCATTATAGTGAAAGCTTGAGGATTTTGTACGGTTATTAGGCACACAATGCCATTTTTCCTTATTAAACTGTCACCAAATTTCTCATATAGCTCCATGAAAGAATAATTGTGGGATAACAAAGTACAAAATTTTACATTTGAGCCAGGCTGCTCTGAAGATTTGGAGTTTGTTTTGTTTTGTTCTGTTTAAAGTCTTTGTGAATATAAAGATAACAAAAAGTCCATCCTGATAAACATGCACACATACACATACATACTCACAAACACAGAGAGAAAGGGGCAGAGATTGGCGGGGAGAGAATGGATAGTACAAAATACTGATGCATGGAAACTGAAAAAAGGAATTCAAAAAAATCCATCAGCCAAGAATGCAACAAAAATATAAATTTTAGTAGAAGGTAAGAAATAAGCAAATAAGCAAATTACTTCTAACTTGAAAGACACCTACAGATAATATAAAGAAATGAAACATATTAATGTGTAAACAAACTTGAATCGATTTAAATTTTATAGTTAATTTGATTTATTCAGCTCTTTTATATCTCTAAATTCTAATGAATGAATACATAAAGCTATGAGTGACCATAAGTATATAAGCTAATTTCATTCGGACTCATTTTTCTAAATTACAAAATGGCAGTAAGATCTACTCCTTTATGTTGTTAGGTGAACGTTAATTGGCATAATGCCTTTAAAATACACTTCATAAAATATAAAGTGACACAGACATGAAAGTGTTCATATTAGGTTGCCTCCCAACTTTTTGTGACAATGCAACAGTTCTCTTTAGAAGCAACATATGGGACAGTTTTTCATGGAAAAAACAATATAGTACATTAGTAAACACTTGGAAATAACATTCTGATCTGGTTATCAAGGAAGCTAATCTTATGTCAGTTTCAAAACCGAGTAAGTGATAAACTGGTTGCTGCAGAGGTTAATAGTTGAAAAATTGTAGTTGTGGATATGAGTAAAATACAAAAGCTCTATTCTTTTCTATCTCTTTGGCTATATAAGAAAAGATGTGAGGATAGGGCTTCAGAAGCTTAAAAGTGAATACATCCTTCACTGAGGAAGCCATAAGCTCCAATGAAAAAGTCAGAATAAAATATGTCTTAAGTCCAATGTGTAACAAGCATTTGATTTGGAGCAATATGCAAAACATATATGCAAACAACCTGAGAGGCATTTGATGAAATTTAAATCTCAGAGTGGTATTTCTATTCAGTAACATCAAGGGAAAGTTCTATTTGAAACAAAGAATTATAAGGATAAATTTAGTTCATTAAATTCAAATACAAGGCATTTTAAAACCTGACCCTAATTTATCTTTTCAAGCCTACCTGTCATTTCTGAACTGTATACACATTGTGAGTGAAGATTCTGTGTTCTATAGCTGTAAATTTATTTTTGCTAATTACTCTATTCAGGGACTTTTTCTATTCAAGTACTTGTTATTGCTATATAATAGTTGTATATTTATAAGGCATATGAGGTTTTTAAATACATGCATACAATACATAATTATCAAATAAGGAATAATTGGGATATCCACATCATTTATTTGTGTTGGAAACATTTCAAATATTCCCTTCTATTTCAAAATATATAATAAATTCTTATTAACGATAATTGTCCTAGTATGCTATTGAACACTAGAACTTCTATCTATTTGCATTTTTGAACCTATTAACCAGTCTCTCCTCAATGCCCACCACCCTCTTCCCTTCCCTGGTTCTGGTAACCACCATTCTACTCTCTGCCCCCATGGGATAATTTTGTTTTAGCTCCTACATATGAATGAGAACATATTATATTTCATTGCCTAGCTCATTTTACTTAACCTCTAGTTTCATCTATCTTGCTGCAAATGGCAGAATTTTATTATTTTTTGGATGAATAATATTTCATTGTGTATGTGTACCACATTTTCTTTATCCATTCATTTGTTAATGGACACTTAGGTTGATTCCATATCTTGGTTATTGTGAATAGTGCTGCAATGTACATGGGAGTACAGATATTGCTTCAATATACTGATTTCCTTTAGGAAAAAGTGCTTTTTTAGGCAAACTTGCCCTCACCAAATTAATGTCTTAGAAGACTTTCTCTTTTAAGGTATAGAAACTATATTAAGGGAAGCAATACTAAAGTATGACTAGTCAAATGTATTAATAAAAATTAAGTAGCCATTCTATAACCCTAGAGAAGTAAGCAACATGGACAAAACAGCATTCTTAGTGCAAAAGCTATTTCAGAAATATCATATTTGTTATTTTTTGTTCCCACAGAAACTCTTTGCAAAGAGTGTATTTTAGTGATGACAAATTATGTACCTATATATAGATTAAATGAGCAAAGATCTCAGACATCTAGTAAACTGCATATATAATCTGGTTAAAATTGGTCAATCTGATACAAATCAAGTTTTAATTGAGCTTTATTAACTATAAGATCTAGGTTCAGAATCAGAGCCTTTTCCTAAATATAAATATTCTGAACATATTTTTCTTTATAGCTTATCTCAGCTAAGAACTCATAATAGGCAAGAGAAGAAGTTTAGACAACATAAGCTGAGATCAGAAGTGGAAAACAAGAACTAGCACACAAGCTATATGGTTGTCTACTCAATGTTAAAGTCAAAGGCCAAACGAAAAAGGAATTAACTTTCAACTGATGGCAACATTCAGGAATTCTGACCCAGAGGATTAGGAGTACATACAAGCGGGTATTCATAAATAGCTTGGGAATATTTTGGAATGACAGAACTGTGGGTCTCTCTATCATTCATTCCATCAATATACATTACTAAAAGCAATTGGGAAGGAGCTATTAGATTGCTCAGCTACACAGGACACTAGGATTTGATGAACACATTATTACTCCAGTAATAATTGGAATTGCTGAATGCTGAATATATAACTGGGAAAAACATCCACTAATGTAAAGTTGAAAAGATAAAGTGTTAATGGAACCTCTTTGGCCTAATATATTCACAGGTGTTTGGATCTATCCCCAGGCACAATCACTACAAGGTCTATAACAATAATGGATATCGGATATCATCTTCTTGTGGGAATCAGTCATCGCTGACTTGAGAACTGAGAGCCGCTGAGCCTAAAGCTTCCAGTTATCAGTGCATGATGGATGCAGGGATGTATTTTATTCACTTAGAACAATTCCTAGCATTGAGGCACCGCATATTAAATGTTTGTGAAATGAAAAGAAAGTTTGAGGCCGGGCGCGGTGGCTCACGCCTGTAATCCCAGCACTTTGGGAGGCCGAGGCAGGCGGATCACGAGGTCAGGAGATCGAGACCATCCCGGCTAAAACGGTGAAACCCCGTCTCTACTAAAAATACAAAAAATTAGCCGGGCGTAGTGGCGGGCGCCTGTAGTCCCAGCTACTTGGGAGGCTGAGGCAGGAGAATGGCGTGAACCCAGGAGGCGGAGCTTGCAGTGAGCCGAGATCCCGCCACTGCACTCCAGCCTGGGCGACAGAGCGAGACTCCGTCTCAAAAAAAAAAAAAAAAAAAAAAAAAAAGAAAAGAAAGTTTGAATAAATGAATAGATGATTGAATGAATGGACTGAACAAAGTAGAATTATTTTTATTTAGTATTTACTCCTGTTTTGAGACTATGAGCAAATGTTCCATAAATATTAGTTTAGAAAAGAGAATGCCATCAGATTAAAAAAAGAAGGTACCGATAACTGAAATGATTGCATTTTATATGAATGGCATTTCTGAAGAATACAATAGTGTGGTTAAGTGATTTGAAATAATTGGGAATCATATTGCTAAATAATGCCATTAAATTTCTGAGAACTTTCAGGAATAACTTATTTTTTAATGTCCAAGACAGCTTCCAATCATAATTGTCACTGAAGACACAAAAAATACTGATAGGGCTTGGCTGTGTCCCCATCCAAATCTCAAACTGAATTGTATGTAGTTCCCATAATCCCCATGTGTCATGGGAGGAACTCAGTGAGAGATAATTAAGTCATGGGGGCGGTTTCCCCCATGCAATTCTCATGATAGTAAGTTCGTTCTCACAAGATCTGATGGTTTTATAAGGCCTTCCCCCTTAGCTCGGTTCTCATTCTTCTCTTTCCACCATGATTGTAAGTTTCCTGAGGCCACCTAGTTCTGCAGAACTGTGAGTCTATTAAACCTCTTTCTTTTATAAATTACCCAGTCTCAGGTTTGTCCTTACAGCTATGTGGGAATGGACTAATACAGATATGTAATATTAAGTACTGTGTCTTAGTAGATCAGATTGGTTAGATATCTAAGAATTCAATTTAAGTCTTGAACTCTCAATTTACTATACAAATTAAAAATAAAAATCACTGACGATTTCAATTATAGCTGAGGTAATGGTTTTTACCATTGTACAGAATTGAATTGCTGTGTCACCAACTCTACTTGATTAAAAATACATTCAATTTATTATCTTTGGTATCTTAAACAATTGAAACATAAATGTTTTAAGTATTCAATATATCTGAATAAATGAAAAATGAATATGAATCTTAAAAAGAAATTCTAACAATTTCTTACGATAACCATGAAATCCATTAGCTATTACAGAGAGAAGAAAAAAAAATTCCCAACTTTAGATCACTTGAGAAGCAGCTTAGGAGGGAGGGAATTACTTATGTTTTGTCACCTATTTATCCTGACACTTATTGGTGAAAACAACAACACAAATCTCAAACCAACTTACACAACCCAGATGGGTTTTCTCAAAGTTCCAGGTTCATATATAAAACAAATCCTTTTGTTTCAGTCATCACTATTCTCAAAGATTTTTAAAAAACAGACAAATACACTAATTGTTTTCAAAGAGGACTTATGCTTGAAATGCAGTAGTTTTTAGGATGTTAACTGTCAAGAATATCTCAAAAAAGAAAAGATACATTATTTTCATATACAATTATTTGATAGTTCAATAACTACAAGGATTGGAAGCTATCTTGGACATGTATTGTTTGTTTTGAATATCAAGAAATTAATGTCAGAGTTTACACAGCTCAAAAAAACTTGTATAGATAAATGGTAGCTACATTGGGATTAAGACTCAGGTTTTCTAATTCATGGCCTATATGAATATTAACTTGCTATAATCTCTGTTTATTCAATTAAGTTTCATGATAGCATATTAGTTATTGCCTTCATAAAATAAATAAAAGTGAATTATAAATGTCATTTGGAGTTAGGAAGTGGGTAAAAAGCAAAGAGAATTCAGTAGGACAAAGATGATACTTGGGATAGAAACCATGCCAATTAGTCCTTTTTTCATTTGGAAAAAGAAGCTTGCGATATCTCAGAAAAAAAAGATACCTTCACAAGGAATTATTTCAGATGCTAAGAGTGAAGATTAGAGGCAAAATATGGTTAGATGTGGAATATGCCCTGGAGTATATATTTGTGAAATACCACGATTGCTGTTTTCTTTTTAGGAAGGGTTTTGCTGCTTTAGAGATATTCTGTGTAGATATTTTGACTTTTCTTCTGAATCTGCCTATTTTTCCCAGAATGTTAGCGAAATTTTAAGCCTGTGATATTTTTAGGAATATGTTTTCTGTTATGTAGGAAAACAAAGATATTTCTTCTTCATTACAAACTCATGATCATTTATTAAGGTTATTATCAATATTTTTCCTTTGAAACATCATATACATCTACTAAGTTATATGATGTCAGGTAGCTTCTAACTTTTACAGAAGTGGATCCAATGAGCTAAGTTTTGAAATCAACATTTTGTCTATAGCTTAAAAATGAATTGGTTCATTGAGTTGATTTCTATGACAACTACTTGGCATTAAGCTTTGTCAGCATTCTGTAAGCTATTGGGTTAATGATAACTAGCTAATGTAATGGATTAGTTAACGAGATTTTTAGTCACCCCTATCTGACTTATGGATATATGGCTGTTATTTGGAATTACAATTAAACATCTCACATAATTACTCTTTGACATACAAAATAAACAGAGTAAAATATAATATGTACTACTATATTTTTTCAATGACACTGTTGTCCTTGGTAGGCATATTCTCATCATTCATTTTATGAAATACACTTTACCTGGCACCAAATCATGAAGTGTGGAAAGAGAAGGAAGGCATTTTAGCATACATATTAATACAATTAGGAACAAAATACAAGTATGTAAAGCAAGCATATGAGGCTGCAGTTTCCAGGAGGCACCAGGTTTCAGTAAAACCTTTTGAAATACCCAAAACATAACACTGTTGTCTCATGCTGATGTGGTTTATGACAGTTACAAGACGTGGTAAAGATATATAGATATAGATATAGATTCGATATAGATGTAGATATAGAGAGAGCATCTGTAAAAAAATTCTGCTATACTCATAGTTAGTGTTGGGTATTAGATACTCTATGAAAATATATGACCTAATTTAAAGACATAGGACAACTTTCTACAATACTATCATACTATTGACATATTTTCACTTAATAAATCTTACTGGATTAAATATGTGTGACTAAAGTTATTAAATGTGTACCTGAGTGCTATGATGAAAATTCTCACAAAATAATTACACAAAAAAGAAGTTTTGATTCTAAAATTAAGCAAACTACTAATAAAAAGGCCTAAAAGATGTCGATTTTCTCACATTTGAGGTCTTCTTCAATGTTACTGTTAGGAAGAAACAATAGCTCTTCAGAGTCAAAAGTGTCCTGTTTCTGGCATTTACAGACCACATTCCTGCACATCTTTTCCAATCTCACAACTCCTTCTTTTATCTGCTGTAGTCATTGGAGCTTTCAGATCCTTAATTTTAATCTCATAGCTTCCTCAGTTACCACTGCTTTAAAAGAAAAGTATGATATTTCATATTTGAATCTTAATATCCTTCTTGAGGCGCTTGCTTCTCTTAAACACTTAACTGTAGGAAACAGGTACTCTCACCTTCTACAGGCCCTGAAAATCCAAGGTCATGAGCCAAGCTCCAAATAACCTCGTCACTAAATAGATAATTTGGTATCAAATATATAAAATGATAAAAGTAGATATTACACTTGAAAACAAGAAAAGGCAGATAATTGAAAAGTAATAATCAATGAGAACATACTACATTTAATACAGGAAGACAAACTATCAAGCCATAGCTGGACAATTCTTCAAAGATTGCATTTCAGTTTAGTTGTATCATTGTTGTATTATTCCATTCTCACACTGCTATAAAGAAATAACAGACTGGGTAATTTTTAAAGAAAAGAGGTTTAGTCAGCTCACGGTTCTGCCGGCTGTACAGAAAGCACAGCACAGTATCTTCCTGAGGAGACCTCATGGAGCTTTTACTCATGGTGAGAGGTAAAGCACGATCAAGTACATCACATGACGAAAGCAGGAGAAAGAGAGAGAAGAGAGGTGCTACACACTTTTAAATAACCAGATCTCATGAGAACTCACTATTGTGAAGACAGTATCAAGGAGATGTTGCTAAAATATTCATGAGAAGCCCACTCTCCTGATCCTGTAAACCCTCACCTATCCCCACCTCCAATACCGGGGATTACAATTCAACATTAGATTTGAGTGGGGATACACATGCATACTATATCAACTGTTATCAGAGAAAGTTGTCCAGTATTGTCCAGGAGACAATACAATACAATACAATACAATACAATACAATACAATACAATACAATACAATACAATCTAACTCCAGTTGAACGATGTCTGGTGACTCTTTGTACGTTTACATAAATTTCCTCTATGTGGACCATATCAGCCTGGGCATAAAAATGATACTGTCCTATTTGAAATGAATTTTTCCTTAGTAATCACTCAGTTTCTATAAAAGGAACTCCAGAAAATATGTCCAAATTATTTCTGCAAACTGCCAGAGGATATTTCTCATTTGGGCACATACAAGTTTTCTCAACCACATTACTGTCTATGAATCTTACTAATATTAATTTAACTTCTCTTTTGTGATGCTTCATTTTGGTAATATCTCTTGACTAGTGCATTAAGCTTACTCACCTACACAAGGTTTTCAGTCCTGTTATCACCAAGTCTCCTTCTCCACTCCCATCGGCAAATAATAATGAGAGGTGACAGCATACTGGCAGCCCTCGCTCGCTCTCGGGGCCTCCTCGGCCTTGGCGCCCACTCTGGCCGTGCTTGAGGAGCCCTTCAGCCCACCGCTGCACCGTGGGAGCCCCTTTCCGGGCTGGCCAAGGCGGGAGCCGGCTCCCTCAGCTTGCGGGAAAGTGTGGAGGAAGAGGCACGGGCGGGAACCAGGGCTGCGCGCGGCGCTTGCGGGCCAGCGCGAGTTCCGGGTGGGCGTGGCCTCGGCAGGCCCCGCACTCGGAGCGGCCGGCCGGTGGGCGCGCAAGCCCCGCGCAGTGAGGGGCTTAGCACCTGGCCCAGCAGCTGCTGTGCTCGATTTCTCGCTGGGCCTTAGCTGCCTCCCCGCGGGGCAGGGCTCGGGACCTGCAGTCCGCCATGCCTGAGCCTCCCCACCCCCGCCGGTGGGCTCCTGCGTTGCGCGAGCCTCTGGGACGAGCGCCGCCCCCTGCTCCAGGGCGCCCAGTCCCATCCACCGCTCAAGGGCTGAGGAGTGCGGATGCACAGCGCGGGACTGGCAGGCAGCTCCACCTGAGGCCCTGGTACGAGATCCACTGGGTGAAACCAGCTGGGTTCCTGACTAGTGGGGACTTGGAGAACGTTTATGTCTAGCTAAGGGATTGTGAGTGCACCAATCAGCACTCTGTATCTAGCACAAGGTTTGTAAACACACCAGTCAGCACCCTGTGTCTAGCTCAGGGTTTGTGAATACACCAATCGGCACTCTGTATCTAGTTACTCTGGTGGGGACTTGGAGAATCTTCATGTCTAGCTAAGGGATTGTAAATACACCAATCAGCACTCTGTCTCTAGCGCAAGGTTCATAAACACACCAATCAGCACCTTGTGTCTAGCTCAGGGTTTGTAAATACACCAATCCACACTCTGTATCTAGCTAATCTAGTGGGGATGTGGAGAACTTTTGTGTCTAGCTCAGGGATCGTAAACGTACCAATCAGCACCCTGTCAAAACGGACCAATCAGCTCTCTGTAAAACAGACCAATCGGCTCTCAGTACAATGGACCAATCAGCAGGATGTGGGTGGGGCCAGATAAGAGAATAAAAGCAGGCTGCAGGAACCAGCAGTGGCAACCCTCTGGGATCCTCTTCCCCACTGTGGAAGTTGTGTTCTTTCCCTCTTTGCAATAAATCTTGTTGCTGCTCCCTCTTTGGGTCCACACTGCCTTTATAAGCTGTAACTCTCACTGTGAAGGTCTGCAGCTTTTCTCCCGAGGCCAGTGAGACCAGGAACCCCCCAGGAGGAACAAACAACTCCAGATGCCCCGCCTTAAGCGTTGTAACACTGGCCAGGCGTGGTGGCTCACGCCTGTAATCCTAGCACTTCGGGAGGCCGAGGCGGGTGGATCACGAGGTCAGGAGATTGAGATCATCCTGGCTAACATGGTGAAACCCCGTCTCTACTAAAAATACAAAAAATTAGCCAGGCGTGTTGGCAGGCACCTGTAGTCCCAACTACTTGGAAGGCTGAGGCAGAATTGCGTGAACCCGGGAGGCGGCGCTGGCAGTGAGCCGAGATTGCGCCACTGCACTCCAGCCTGGGCGACAGAGCAAGACTCCGTCTCAAAAAAAAAAAAAAAAAAAAGCTGTCACACTCCCAGCGAAGGTCTGCAGCTTCACTCCTGAAGCCAGTGAGACCAGGAACCCACCAGAAGGAAGAAACTCCGAACACATGCCAACATCAGAAGGAACAAACTCCAGACACGCCGCCTTTAAGAACTATAACACTCACCGCAAGGGTCTGCGGCTTCATTCTTGAAGTTAGTGAGACCAAGAATCCACCAATTCCGGACACAGTAAGTACTGTCTTATTGAAATACTGAATACGCAAAGACTAAACTCTGTTTTTAGGAACCTTCTGTAAAGAAAGGCCTCTGTAATTTAAGAAAATGTTTTTTCTTCCATTTTTGTTACCTGCCGTTAGATAGGTGCCAAACCGTATTTTTTTGCCCACCAGTGTTTTCAGAGTAAAATTTTTAAGCATGCTATGAGACTTGCACCGGAAAGGATGACAGACATGGACTTGCACTTGAACTGTTAAGTCCTCATACATCCATGATTAGTGTATAAACTTTATAAGCTTACAAGAAGGAAGATCATAGAATTTTTTTTAGGCTTTGAGTCTGGAGATCCTCTCCAATTTTCAGTGGATGACAAAGAAAATAGTTGAGCAAAAGACAAAAAAAGTAGCAAATTTCACTGTATCATTCAAAGATTTACAAAAATCATTTAAGTTAAATAAAAGGAAAATCTGCAATATGAATATATGATTAAAAAGGGAAAAAATGTACCATGTCTAAATTTACAAAGTCAAAAATATCAACAGAATAAGAAATTAGTTTGAATTTACATAAAGGTAATTAGATCAACACGTTTAATTACTTTAACCTCTATATAACCTTGAAACAATTTCTCCACTGAGATAAGCTATGAAAGTTTCATACAGAAATAGAGGAAAAGTGCACCTTAGTGCTACTCAACTCTTTAAAAACAGCTTTTAAATAATTATAACAGAAAATCAGTGTAATTATATTATGATTTCTCCTTGTGCAAAGGATCTCAAAATTTAGCTAACATCAGAATGATCTGAAGGCTTTTTAAACTACAAACTTCTAAGCCTGTCTCCTAATTCTGATTCATTATGTCTGGAGTGAAACAAAACAATTTGCGTGTCTAACAAGTTCCTAAGTGGTAATTATATTATTAATCCAGGGGTTATGCTTTCTTCATCCAATGTAACATCACAGAAAGCAGCCAAAGAAAATGCTTGAAGGATTAGTGGAGTGAAAAATCTTTCTTGCATGGCAAGTTCAAGATTTCTGAGAAATCACTCAGAAAACATACAGTGGCAAATTTATATCTAATATAACTTAGTGGATGCTTTGCCTTGAAATACTACGTGGAGGTCTATAAAAAGTAATTATTAACTTTATAGAAAAAAATGCTTCAGGAATGAACTTGTCAAAGAAAGCTGAGGTCTCATGTGAAAGATGCAATGATCAATGTTACTATTATCACAAGGAAGGCAGCACATTTTTCTTTGTTGCTCTGGTAGATTGGAGATAGGGTGATGTTAAAGATTTAAAGTTTGTACTTCATTTTATGAGTACAAATATATATTACTAATGAGGCATCCATACTGATAAATTTACATGAAATAATATAGAGAAAACGTATGTAAACAAAATTGTGTGAACAAAATTATGAAAGGCTTTATATTCTGTTTAAAAGCAATAGCAACATCATTATGAAGAAATAAAATAAATTGTAAAGAAATACTTTTATGGAAATAAAGGAAGGCCATTCACATGCGTAATTTCCACTGCATTATTCTTTTAATATGTCTACTAAGGGGTTTAAGAGTTGCAACCAACCTCCTTTATTTCCTGAGGATTTTTTTCTGCAATAGAAAACTATAATATAATATCAAGACACTATCATACCTCACAACTATAATGGGTGATAGAAGGGAATTCGTGTCACTATGAAGAACTATAGGACATGTGTTACTATACAAATATAATTATAACCCTCTATGTATTTGAATGATTTGTTTTAAAATAAAAATAGATTTTAAATATAACATATTGTTCAAAGTTTCAGGGTTAGTTGCTTTTCTTCATTTTCCACATTAACTGCAAAATAATCAAAGATAACCAAAAATTGTAGAGGACCAACAGAAGCAAAATTTCAAATTAAGATCTATTGAAACTAATCATCTTTTTATGTGACATTAATATAAATGATGCAAATGATATTGCATATAAAGTTCTCTGAGAGCAGAAAATTTATTATACCCATTTTTGCTAGTTATTCTTTATAATACCATTCAATGATTTTTCAAAAAATAGTAAAAGTATTGCTCATAAGAAGATCTTCACTTATCTTTCCATTTCTTTATTCCCTTTATTGCAAAACTGAGTGAAATATTTGCCCATACTGCTTTTCATTTTCTTGTTTGATGCATTCCTTCAATCACGATAATTAGGTTTTCATTTCTACTTCTCCAAAGAAATTGTCCTTTCCAAGTTCATAACAACTTCACTAAGCCAAAGCCAGTGGCGAATTCTAAGCTCTCAATTGATTAGACTCTCAGCAGTATTTGACATTACTAATGACTCCTTTCTTCTTATAATACTTACTTCACTTCGTGTAAGGGACACCATTACACTCTTGCCTCCCAATGTCATTCCCTTTGCTGGCCCCTATGCTTTCTACGTTTAATTTTAGAAACTCCACAGATTGACTCTGATGTTTATTTGTCAGAACTAACCATTCCCTTGAGCTTCACATTCATTTATCAAACTGTCCAATTTGCTACATGGCTTCGGTAGGTAACAGCATCACAAATGGATTGTGCTTATAACAGAACTCTTGATTTCTCCCTTCAAGCTCTAGAAATTATGCTCTCTTAGGACACAATCTTGTTAAATATCATGTAAAGGATGGACAGTCAGACCTGAAACACAGTGTTCAAGGAATGAAAACTAAAATCAAAACAAAAAACAAATATGAAAATGACCATTTAAATGCAGAAACATGGTATTTGAAACAGCATGAGACTTCTATGTGTAGCTTCATATGATGAGCTAGGATTCAAAAAAAGGAAATGATTGATTAAGATAGTCTCAGAGACTTTTCTCAAAGATGAAATGATATATTTGGCTGAGTTTCAGGAAATCCTTGAGTGAAAATTTGCAGAATATTCGAAAAAAATGATTTAAGTAATTTCTATATTTGGTTATAGATGTCTATATGTTTCTCAAAGTGATTTCAATGATTAATTTTTAAGGTGTTTATAATAGAAAACTTTCAGATATTATTAATAACTACGGACAGCATGGGTTCTACTACAGGTATGATTATGCTACCCACTTCGGACAAACCAGGTAAACAACATCTCTTTCACAAGGCAGACTGCAAAGACTGATTCCAAAGTGTCTTTTGTACAGGTCTGTTACAAGAGTGAGGCCATCTGAAAGGTAACAATCAACTTTCAGAAGATATGTATCCAAGTGGGCTACTTCCAATGTCTATGAGAAGTACCTGCACTTAAGAGTCTGCTATTGCCTTAGGTAAGTTTCAGCTTATAGACAAGATCCTAGCAGAGAAAAAAGGAAAGCACACATCCACATGCCTCCAAACACACAACACGATGAAGCTCTATCTAAAATAAGTAAGATGCTGGTTAATCTAGATTTGATATTGGGTCTCTTCTAACTTCAATGCATCAGAGATTTAATCAGACATGGTTGTTTTACTGTGAGTATTCAGAAGAATGTTTTAATTTTCTGAGTTATTCAATGAGAAGCGTGAGTGAAGAAGAAAAATTCAAGAAAATAAACTAAAACAATTCGCTTCTATTTTTACTCACCTCAATTACCTATAAAAAATTATCATTCAATTTGAAACATGTTGCTCTTTAGCAGCATGTTATGCTGCTTCCCCTGTTAAGCTGACGAAAAATATGAGGTCCTGAGCTTGTGGATAAGAAGCAACAGCTATTCTTCTATCAAGGCGAGAAGCAGCTGCATCCCCTATGTCCATGCCCTTTAGAATATACATAACACCCTGGAATCCCCGGTGGCAGCTGTGCACTGTAGTATCCTGGCTATAGCACTTTCTACACTATTTCATGAAGCTTAAGATGCTAATTTCAGGATGTAGAATGTTTAGCCTTGCAGCTTTGAGGATGTTGGCACTGAAGCTGATAGAAATGTGTTCTCTCGAGTTTGAATATGTCTTTATGCATCAGCATCTCTGGTAAATAATTCCTTACATTTATTTTCAAGCCCTTGTGTGCATTTGATAGAGTGAGACGAAGGGATTATTGCAATGACACACTGCACATCTTTGTTATTTTGGGGAACAGTTTTCCCTTCTGAAATATCAAGCATATTTTGGGTTTAATATCCCAAACCATTTCAGTTTTGTAATTTTTGTCATCCTCAGCAAATTAATCCCACACATGCCTTTGTCTGTCGTGTGAACCATGCAGAAATTTTGAATTATGTCACCTCTATAAATGGGAAACTTGGAAGAAGGATTAAATGCTAAGGGTGATCAGTCAGAGAAAGTGGCAACTCGTCTGGTTCAATGATTAAAGTCTGGACCTGAAAATAAGAATTACTAGGTTGTATTTGTGGCTTTGCTATCAATTTGCTATATGACTTTTAGTACGACTTTTCACCAGGAATTAGTTTTCAGATATGGGCTAAAGGAAAAAAATGTAGACCTTCAAAACCTAAAGGAAGAATTTGTTATATTTCTTAGAAATATTACATAGTTTATTAGGAGGGCCTTTCACAGAGTTTGGATAAATCTCAGCCAAATAAATGTTTTATGTCAGCTAAACTAATAACCAAAACATTAATTGGAGAAAAATGTGTAGGATGTTGAATTATCACACATAGGCAGTTCAAATAGGCATCTGGCTATGTTTCTGTTTAGATGGAGCTGTAAACAGTAGGAATTTCTAAGGTATGTAAATAACTTACAAAATCAGGATGGTATATAGAAACCTTAGGGAAAAAACCTGCTAACTTCAGAATTTAGAGTGATTTTTTTCCCACCGTCTTTATGTTTAGCCTGTTTGGAACATGACACAGCTAAATCCTTCCTTTCCTGGCAATTTACTGTCAGTTAAAACTCCACTGTATGTAATTGTGCCTCCAAATTCACATAACATAGATTTTTCTGATGCTTTACTGTCCTTATTGTTTACTTCGTTGGTTTTTAAATATTTTTTCAAAATGTTTAAATATTTTAAAGAGTTTTCCTTTCAAACTACAAAAGCTTTATATGCTTATTGAATCAAATTAGGTCATACAGATGTGTACAAAATACAATGCCTGAATGTAATTTTTCACTATTCCACTTTATAGTCATCTTTCTACATTTTTTCTATTTATAAGAAACAGATATATGTATAAACACCAAATTTCTTATTACAAAAATGTTATTATAAAAATTTTTGCCGATTTACATTTTTTCTTCTTGATTAGAAAGAAACTTAATAAGGATGTTTTCATCATGGTTTTCCAGAGCAACAGAACAGAGTATATATTTGTGTATATATATCCTACATATGTATATGCACGTATGTATATATACACAGGTGTATACATACACATATATACACGTATATGTAATATGTCATGTATTATATAATGTTCCATAATATATGTTCCATAATATATTATGTGTAATATTTAATAATACACATATATATGTGTATGTGTGTAAATATATATATATATACACACACACACAGAGAGAGAGAGAAGGTGGAAGAGACATCAATGTTAAAGAGTTGACTCATATGACTATGGAGGAGGTTCACAAGTCCAAAATCTGCAAGGTAGGCTGGACGACTGAAAACCCAGGGAAGAGTTGCTATTTGAGTCTGCTGGCAGAATTACCTCTACCTCCTGAAAAGTCAATTTTTTTATTTCTATTAAGTCCTTCAACTAATTTAATAAGGCCCATCCATATAATGGAGAGCAATCTGCTTTATTCAAAGTCTACTAATTTAAATGTTAATCTCATGTAAAAATTAACCTCACAGAAACAACTGGAATAATATTTGACCAAGTGTCTGGGTACCATGGCATCCAGCAAAGATGACTGATAAAATCGAACATCATATAGGCCTACGACTTTCTAATCTGTTCTAAGCACTTCTCATGTATTATTTCATTTAATAATCAAAACGACCCTATGATATAGGTATTATTATCATTTCAGTTCCTGAATACAAACAATGCCAACACCTTAAGCACATCGCTGTCTTCCTATGCTTTAATTTCCTCATCTATAGAATTAAAAAAATAGTATCTACAAAAATGTTGATATGAGTAATAAAAATGTAATACATGCAAAGTGTTTAACCCAGTATCAGGTACATGGTAAGCACATTAACACTTTTGTTATCATTTTATCAGACTATATTCAAACATTCCTTATCGATGGTTATTTATGTTGCTTGCCATGACAAATACTTGGATATAAGCCTTTTTTATTTATTTGCTGGTAGCTTTGTTTCTGTAGAATATGGTCACAAATAAGGGTAATTGACCCTTTTAATAGGTCCAAATCAATGATTTTTTATACTGTTCACAAGATTTTGCAATCATCACCATTAATTCCAGAGTAGTTCATTATCCCAAAGGAAACGCCATACCTATTAGCAATCACTCCCTATTTCTCCTCTTGCCAAAGCCCTGATAACGACTGGTACAGTTTCAATGTGTGTCCCTGCCCTGAATCTCATGTTGAAATATAACCCCGAATGTTGGAGGTGGGGTCTGGATGGAGGTGGTTGGATCATGGGGGCAAATTTCTCATGAATGATTCAGTGCCATACTCTTGGTGCTGTCCTAGGCATAGTTAAAACTTCTCATGAGATCTGGTCATTTTCAAGTGCTTAGCACCTCCCTATTCTCTCTCTCACTCCTGCTCCCTCCATGTGAGACACCTGCTCCCCCTTCACACACTGCCATGACTGGAAGTTCTTTGAGCCCTCCCTACAAGCAGATGCTGACTTTATGCTTCCTGTACCGCTTGCACAGTGAACCAATTAAATGTTTTTTCTTATAAATTACTCAGTCTGAGGTATAGCAATGTAAGAACAGCCTAATACAACCACAAATTAATGTTTTGTCTATTTGTCTATGTTGGACATTTAACAAAAAAAATGAATCATATAATATATTGCCTTTTGTGTCTCACTTATTTCACGTGGTATAATGTTTTCAAGATTCACCCATGGTATAGCATATGTCAATACTTCACTCATTTTCATGGATAAATAATATTCTGTTATATAGATGTATACCTCTTTTGTATATCCATTTATCACTTGATGAGTATTTGAGTTGTTTACAAGTTGAGATATGCATAGTGTTGCTGTGAACATGTATGTATTAATACAAGATTTTCTGTGAACATGTTTTTATTTATCTTGGCTATATACGTAGAAATGGAATTGCTATAATGTTTTCCTAATTATAAAAATTTACACTCCCATTAGCAATATGTGCCAATACTTGGGTCTTTTGTTTTGTTTTGATTTATGACATAATCACTACAAAAGAGTAATTTAGTATTTTCTCAAATTTTTGTCTTAGAGGTTATAATTAACAGGGACAGAGATTAACTAATATTTATTAAAGCAGGCAAAAATATGGATCCTTTACATATATTATCAAATTTTATGTTCACAATATCCTTGGAAGATTTTATCAGATATACTTGTATGGTGAATATTCATTCATTATCACAATTTTAATATGAGGAATAAGACCTGGGAATAATGTATTCAATATCACTCAGCTAATGAAAAATAAGACCAGTGTTTGAGAATACTACAACTAACCCATGTGTTTCAAGTTGCCTTATGAATTTTAAACATATTTTGGCAACTTGCCCAAAGCAACACAGCAACAAAGTAACTGTAATTTGGTAGAAAAATGATTCAACATTAGTGCCTTCTGATTCCAGAGTTTCTTTGCCTGAAAAGTGTGTGAATTTCCCAGGAAAATCTCTTTTTTCTATTTCTATGTAGAAATGGTGGCCTTACCTCACATATTTCTTTTTAAAAGATTGCATAGCATAAAAGGTTAAGCCTTTTATCCTCTGGGAAGAGCACTGTGTTCATTTCTGCTGAGTCCCTCCATTGTAGTATCACACATCAGCACATTTTCTTATGTTGTTCTTGTTCGCCAGGTCTTGATTGCAAAGCTTCCTTTATCTGTTACTGTTGGAGAAAACCTCCAATGTATTTTGATGAACAGACTTGCAGTTGTCTGTCCTCATTTTTAAAAATGATCTCTTAATTTTACCTCTACCATGCTTACCTGAACTGATGTGTGGTGCTTTTACATGATAACTGAATGGGCTGTGAAATAATACAGTTTAAGTATAGCAATTTAAATTTGACAGCAATTAAACTCTGCACTAAATATAAGTACTTGGTTATTACATGCTCTCTAAACTGGAATATGGTCTTTTCTTATTAAGCTATTTAAAATATTATTGACTATATATTTGTTTTCTTTTTTTATTTTTTAAAAATCCTCAGAAACTATTTACATGCTTCCACATTTTATTTGGGTGTCAATTTTTAATTTAAAATAAAATGAAAAAATAATAAATATAGTCTTAAGAGACTTATCCTGTCATTCCTAGTTATAAAGGGGGTTTCAGCTCTCTTTACTTTCTGGAACCCAGTGCTTCCCTTGGGAAGAAGTGTAGTTGGTATATTCTGTGTACCCAGCATCTGTTGGGTAATATGTCATTGAATTTGGGACCAGAAATATTGATTATGAAAGCAGTAAGCAGTCTCCATTTAGGATCTCTGCTGCTACTACTGGTCTATCTGTTCTCAGACATGATGAAGGTACCTTGCTTGCACTTTCATTCTCCTTGAGGTGAGAAGTTCAGGCAGGACTGGCCTTTGAGGGCATGCTGAGTTCTCCTTTCCCACTGCTCATACTTTCCATTTTCGGTTGAGAATGATGAAAAATTAAGGTAAGCCCCTATTTATCTCCAATTCAAGTAAGAAAGATTTGTAGGCCTATTGTTGGGCTGAAGTCCTTGTCTCATTCTTAATTCATTTTACAGGGAACCCTGCACTTTGAGTAATAATAGAACACCTGACTCTTATGTTTATCCTCACTCTCAAAAACAAGCCTCAAATGAACAATGCATGAAACCCTATCTCTCTAATAGAATCCCTGATCAATCCACTTCAACCTCTAATCCATACAAATTTAGGAAAGAAATAACTACCAAATACAAAAAAAGGGAATTTTTAATTATTCATGTTTCTGCTCTCTTTTACTATGCATATATATAACCAAATGTATATAAAGCTACATAAATCAAATCACAATATAATTACTCATTCAGCTTTATTTTTACATATGCAATAATAAAAAGTTTAACAATATAATTTATTCTAAACATTAACTTTATTATTTAAAAATTTAAGAGGTTTTGACAAAAATCTAATAAAAATCTGTGTCAACAACTTTAATTGACATTTTGAGCATATCAATTTTTAGAATGACATATGAAGTAACTCTTCACAGTAAAGTTGTAATTTCACAGTTTATTAATGATACTAATAAATTGCATATTTTGAGAGATGCTCAAGTAGGCAATTACTATTACTTTTCCTGTTTCATATGTTAAGGAGCTAATTTAAGAATGAAGTTTTGAGAAACCTTCTTTTTTATCTACTTAGTTTTAGCTACTTAGTTTATTTATTTTTAGCTACTTAGCCACTTAGATTTTCCAGTCTGCCTCTTACTCAAAGACCTGATTTGCAATCAACAGTTATGTAAATTTTTTATCAGATTACACTTTCAGTACTAAATTTTCAATAACATACATAACAATTACTTCAGTAAAACTGACAAAATGTCAGAGAGTGGGACAGGGTAGAGTAATTAGCAGAATGGTGGGAGTCTGCAGCAATTCAAATAGAGAAAGTTTTTATTTTCCTGAAGGTTGTAATTTCCTAGAGGATAAGCAAAGAAGAAAATTTTTATGGACAATTTTATCACTCGAGTTAGGATGTAGAGAATCTACATATCACCTAATTTTAAAGTTCTGTGAGTTTTATTATATAATAATATTTTTACCTATAATTTATGTCACAATAAAATGTTGTACCATTTCTAGGTCACTTGCTGTGGGTATTATAATATGCAAATAATGATATTAAGGATTTAATCTTTGCTTTTACTAAACAAATCACCTTTTATAGGTTTCAGGATGCTAATTTTATTTCATCCTGACTTACATCCTGCTAAGGTGACAACAAAATGCCATTGATGTCATGATTTTCTCATTGTGCTAAACCTTTAATATACTACATTTACAAACTCAAAAGCAAGACCAGCAGAATCTGAGAACGGTGCATTCTAATGTGAAATGTTTACCAATTTTAAAGTTTTGTAAATAAAGTTGACTTATATGCAAGTAGTTTATGTCTAATTATAAAACACACAGGTAAAATTGTTAGTACATTGTTAGTACATATGTTATTTAAGCTTTAGTAAACCCTTTTTATAAACAATTCTTTGCATATTTGAGAGAATATTGCCTTGATTAAGCTTATTTGCAACACAAAATGCATAGTTCCTTTTCTTAAATTGGATCCTTTTTTGTTTCTAGCTTAATTAAGAGAAAAATGTATAAAAACAAAAAAGAATCTGTTTAATTTTGGATCATTGCTACTTCTGTTTCCAATATATATCATATGGGAGAATAATAATTTCTTAATTTTCATCTTTGGAAAATGTAAAACAATTTAGGTTTTTCTTATAATTATTTCTGTCTTTTCATAGTCTTATCCCACCTGCCCAGTGACAGTGTGTCACCAACATTTTCCAAAATATTGTACTACGGTTTGCACTGCTTTATTATTGTCTCTAATCACAATAAGAAAAAATTTAAGAAAGGCCTTTATACTAAAGTTATAGTTAATAAGTTTGTATCTTATAACTCTAAATGGATAATGTTAGTTTCAACAAGAGTTCTTTAACACAAAGGAATTAGTCAACAATGTTGGGATTTTCATCATCTGCAGATTTGTAGAAAAAGGAAAAGACATTTTGGACAGAAAAACTTCCTCTCAAATCGTATCCTATAATTGAACATAAAAATATTAGAAATAGCACCTTTTAAAATTAGACAGTATAGTCCTTATTCTTTAAAAGTATTTACATATACTATTTCAATTAACCTTTACAACAATTCTATGAAATTGGTTTTATTATTATAAGTCAATTTACTGATTTACTGATGAGAAAACAGAATAATGGATAGTTGCATCAGGCCTGACATACTGATAAAATATCAGATATAAATGGGCTATGTTTTCTGAGAATTCTGGGACCAAATAGCTGTCACTCCCCTCCTTTCCCAATAATATTCACCACATTGTTGTGTCATGATCTTCCACTTAAGAAAATACAAATTTCTCCTGTGTCATATCTGCCTAAAATGTTTTTATTTAAAAAATACTCCATATGTTCAGATCACATTTCTACCTGCGTTTTAATTGATGCCTTATACTCTTGCTTCATATCTACAAACCCTGGGTTTGTTAATGTTTCCCAAAATGTTGAATATCTGTACCACAAAGCAGATTAACACAATAGCATATACATTAGGCAATACATACATTAGGCAGTATACAGTATACAGCATAGAGTACAGATAAGCCTTCCTCTCAAAACTCCGGTCTTTGCACCATTAACTACTTCCTTGAATGAGATATCATGAGATTAGCGATTCCTTCACGTGTTTTACTGTCACAAACTCCTCACAGTCTGGCTTTGCTCTCAAAATAGCAATTTCATTGACCTGGTGTCGTGACACCAATAATTACAATCATCTCATTGAAAAATTCTTCTTAAGGTACCTCTGGGCCATTGATAAATTTGAATATTTAACAAATTTAATTTCCATAAACTGTCCTTAAAAGAGAAAGGTTATATAATGCACTTCCATGGAGTAGTAGTCACTTCTTCTTGTTATTACATTCAGGCAAAAACACCCATAATTTTCTAAAAAGTCATTAACAATATAGATGATTTATTCATCATGAACTTTTGTACTGATGCTATTCAAGGGCACTGCTAAATTTAAGAATTTTATCATTGATAAATATAGATAAACAACCATCCCAACAAATACACACCCCCAGACTATCCTTAGTGTCAATCTTAATAAACATTGGTAGGACAAAAAAAAAGTGCGTGAAAAAGCTTAAAAAAAATGTATCTGATGGAAGGCAGTACCAACCCTCATTAAGCTGCAGTTCCTACACTAAGAGTTCTATACGTTTTCCATCTTGACCATCTACTGGGTAATTAATTAAAATTATTCATTATGTTCCCATGAGGTGCTACTAAACTTATCTACAAAAACTACACCCTCAGTTTAGTTGCATAAATGGCAATATAGATTTTGCTAATATCTGTGGAATTTTAAAAATCTTGCTGAGATCTTTATTACTATGCACATTTATCAATTTGAAGTTTTTGTTTTCCATTCTATAGTGTGTACACATTAATTCAACAGTCTAGACAAGTTTAAAATAAAGAAAAACTACAATGTTGATTACCTTAGGGAAAACAGAGTTTCTGATAGAAGTCCTTGTTTTGCAGTAGGTTTTCTAGTCATGGCATTTATTTACATACACCTTTGGGCATTGATCTCATGAAAATCACAGCTGTCTCCTCAGTTCTCCAGAAAATATCCAAAAACTAAGTAACATTAATTCAATATTTGATGAATAAATATTTGATGAATAAATATTATGTTCACCAACTGCACAAATATCCATGAGATTTCTTCTCAAGGTACCTCTAGGCCATTGGTAAGTTTGAATATTTAACAAACTTAATTCCCATAAACTGTTTTAACATGATTTACATAAACTGTTCTTAAGAGAGAAAGATGATATAATGCATTTTCATGGAGTAGTAGTAATTTCCTTTTTGTTATTACATTCAGGCAAAGACACAAAATTTCCTAAAACCAAAGTCATACACAAGCCCTATAAACATAAACACATTGGGAACACAAGACATATTAATAAATATAAAATAATTGTCAGGATACAATCAAATGTGAAAGTGAGGAAGAAGTTGAGAATGGGGTCAAGAATGTTAAACTGCCTGGTGTATGGGATAAAATCTTTCACAATGAAGAAATTTCCCACTAAAAAATGCAGAAAGTGTCTTCATTTAGAAACACTGGTATTAGAGGATTTAGTATTTACTAGTGAATCATTACTGATAGATCAGTGACAGTAGGAAATCAATTTTTGCTGTGTTTTGATATTAGTTTACTCATATTTAATCTGCAATAATATTCAGAACCACTTGGAAGTAAGAACACATGAAAAAGCTATGAATACAGAAGACCACGTGGCCAAATTACAAAAAAGAACATTGGCTCGAATAGTCTTCCACCTGCTTGAGATGTATCATAAAACAAACTGCATCAACTCCAAAAGATTTCCAAACAAGACTTACTCCAAGGCATATGGTTGGGTCTTATAAAACAGAGATTCAACAACCAATTAAGTTTCCAACGTTCTGTGTTTCACAAAATAAACAATTTTTATATACCTCTCAATAGCTTTAATATACTAATGTTTATAATTTTCAAAAATAGAAATAATTACATAACATGTATTAATATTATCAAAATGCTTTTTCTGCAAAAGTTATTTTTGGAAATAAAAATCCTATATAGGCTGCTTCTACCAAAATGTATGAAAGACACATCCTTTATCCATTGGTTAGAAAATCAGGCTTAGTATGATTTCTCTTTTTAATTTTTGCTCTATAAGCATTGATGGCAAAAAGTGTGTTTAATTACCCATATGCAATTAAACACTTAAGGGATTAATTAATTAGTTAGCATTTGTAACACTCTAAGATGAAAATCACTGTTTAAGAATTATTAATATGAACAGATGCAAGGGATGAAAGCGTCATTTATGCATGCATATGGCACACCCATCAACTCTTAGCTTATGCTTGATTATGAAGATGGATAAATATGCTCTTTGCTTTATCATAAATGTCAACTTTGTTAGGGCCCTATTCAAAGACATGATTGCTCTTTGAGCCAACATGAGCACCAATTTCCAAATACTAAACCAATGTGTCTTCAGAAAAATTATGCCTCAAATCATTCTCAGTAATGCTTGTTTCCACTTACAGAAAAAACTACGTGTTTTGTAAAAGCATATTTAAATTGATAAAGTAAATTATGTCACCATTATATATATGTACTTGTTGTCCAATGCTGTTGGAAATGAAACTACAATATTAACTATCAGACAGAAAGTATTATTTATTTAAAAGAAGTAATAGAATTTGAGCCATTCTCTACTGCAACATCTAACAGTACATCATGTCCAACTGCAGATTTCTCATTTAATTTAAGCCTTCTAAAGTTAAATTTGGATATTTACTATCATTTTTATGATATAATTATCTCCCTTTATAAGATTAAAGATATTCATTTAACGGAAGGGCAAATCTATATGAAAGCATATTTTTGTATTTTATCTTTGGCATGTTGATTTAATAAAATAAGGCTATTTTGGTACTACATTGATGTAAAGCCAAAACTCATTGAAAGCAATAAAAATCCATATAAGCTGTTGACTAATGCTTTCATTTTAACCTAAGATAACATATTAAAACTTACAACGTGATAAGTGATGTCCTCACACAATATCACAGCAAATAATGAAGAAATAATATGGAGTTTACAGAGCCATTTATATCAACTTCTTAGATGGCCAAAACCTGTTATCTTAGCTCTGCCAGCCATCAATTCAAATACATAATAGAAAGATATGTTTTCCTTGAGAACATTTTTGATGCTTGGTAAAGCTTTATGTTGGCATTTTTATTAAAACAATGTGTAGGTTGCTATAGTTATATGGAAATGGTATTTCAGCTTCCAACCTCTGTTTTCATAAAGTGAAAATATAAGCAAAACACTCATCAGAATAAAGCCTTAAGTACTTACTTTCAATATAACACTTAATTGTGTTTCTAAATTTAATGAATAAATGTTAAATTAACATGAAAGCCAAGGCTTAAGCATGCAGAAAGTAATGCAAAAGAGGCTACAAAATTTGATAATTTAATGGAAACAATTTCCTGAATATGTTCAGTGTCTTAGCACAACAGATATTCTTCTTTTAAAATGATTTTATTCAGATGTATATATTTTTAACTCTAGGTCACTTAATGTTTGTAGCTAGAGAAGATGAAGAAAGTCCCTTGTAATGAACTAAAACATTGTCTCTCTCTTTGTTATGGATTTTAAAACTTGTTGCCAATACATATAATTTGTTCAAGCAAAGAATGTTTTATATTCTCATTATTATTTCTTTATCTTAACCTTCAACAGCAATGATGATCCTATCTTTATCTTAACAATAGCATATCTAATTTATATTTTCTTAGAAAATAAGCAGTCAGTAAATGGAAAGAATTGTGTGCATTAAAGTAAGTAAAATCTATGTTAAAAATATCCAGAGATGTAATCCACATTTTCATTGTTGTTATAGATTACCCAACTCCTAAGGGTCTTTCCAAAATTATGCCTAAGCAATTCCATTGATATTTCAAAAGATTAGTTATTACATTCTGGAAAATAACTCTTCACATAATTGAAGGAAGGTTTAAAATTAACCTTTGGCTTTCTTTTTTTATATACCAAGTTTAACATGTTAAAATAGAGGATTTAGCTTACACTTGATTATGAAGATGGATAAATATGCATGTTGACATGGCTATCAACAATGACAAAGACCAGAGATTTAGGAGTAGATGGATGAAGTGGAGTGGCAGGTTAGACCATTAAAAATGTAGAGCATGGAAATATTTAAACCAATAAAAATAACAAGAATATTAGAGGATAAAAGACAGAGATTTGGCTATTAAAACATGTAATTACTTGGATTATAAATCATTCTACTATAAAGACACATGCACATGTATGTTTATTGCAGCAATATTTACAATAGCAAAGATGTAGAACCAACCCAAATGCCCAACAATGATAGACTGGATAAAGAAAATGTGGCACATATATATACCATGGAATACTATGCAGCAATAAAAACGAATGAAATCATGTCAATTTGCAGGGACATGGATGAAGCTGGAAGCCATCATTCTCAGCAAACTAACACAGGAACAGAAAGCCAAACACCATATCTTCTCACACATAAGTGGGAGTTGAACAATGACAACACATGAACACAGGGAGGGGAACATCACCCACTAGGGCCTTTTGGTGGGGTGGAGGACAAGGGAAGTGATAGCATTAGGACAAATACCTAATGCATGTGGGACTTAAAATCTAGATGATGGGTTGATAGGTGCAGCAAACCACCATGGCACATGTATACCTATGTAGCAAACCTGCATGTTCTGGCACATGTATCCCAGAACTTAAAGTAAATTTAAAAATTTTTAAAAAGAAATAAAGGAATCAAAAACATTAAAAATAAAAAGGAAAAATAATATGTAATTACTGAGGAATAGTAGGACGTAGGAGGTCAAGGAGAAGCATGTAGGGTAATAACAGGTGCTTCAAAATTCTTTGCTTTTCTAGGGAGAAGATAAAACAGTGACATAAAAGTGGTAACAAAAGTTTAAGGGCCTAGTTCACCTTCTCTGCAGTACACAGATGAAAAGGGAGAGAACACAGTATCTTCAACTGACATCCAGGCTTTTGCATTAGTTAGGAAAGTTCTGAAAAAAATGATGAATATTTAATGGATTTTGTTGATGACAGATTTTGAGTTCAAATGAACATCAAAGAAGAGTTTGTGTTGACAGAGTTAGGAAGAAGTGGACACTGTATTCGTATTGGGGGATACACTGAACATTTTGTAGATGAACCTAAATGCTGACAGATAACCTAAGAGGCTGTGAATTGCTCTGGATACCAGCTAAGAAAATGGGACATGATTGAAATTATTTGGATGGTTTCTTAGACAGAGCTAATCAATCACACTTAAGACTCTGCCTGTGCTCTTAGGCAGTCTATACTGCTAGTGTCCAAAATGTTGGCAGATATGAAGTAAGGTTTTCTGTTTGTTTTTTGAGACACAGTCTCGCTTTGTTGAGAGGCTGGAGTGCAATGGCGTGATCTCTGCTCACTGCAAACTCCGCCTCCTGAGTTCAAGCAACTCTCCTGTCTCAGCCTCCCAAGTAGCTGGGATTACAGGCCCCCGCCACCATGCCCGGCTAATTTTTTGTATTTTTAGTAGAGATGGGGTTTCGCCGTGTTGGCCAGGCTGGTCTCAGACTCCTGACCTCAAGCGATCCAGCCACCTCGGCCTCCCAATGTGCTGGGATTACAGGCATGAGCCACGGTACCTGGCCTGAGGTTAGTTTTTTTATTCAATCCTGCAATGGGTGATACAGAGAGCATGGGAGAACATTTTAAGCAGATTTATCTGTGTAATCCTAGTGTTCTGAAATTTTAAATTGATGTGCTTCATGTGAGAACTCTCATTAAATGTCATAAAAAACAGATGCACTACGTGAACTAGAAAATGTTCTTGCTTTTAGTTCTGAAATCACATTGTTTCATCCATCTAATAACTAGCCCAGTTATTCCTTTTTCAGTTTTCTCTTTCTGAAAGTTTGGGTATTCAACTTAGATTTAGCCTACAAATTTCTCATATATTTTTTGTTACTTTTTAATCACTGTCTTTTTGTTCCACTCACTAGAGCAATCCTCAGTTTTACCTAAAATGAGTATTCTGTCATTCAATTTTTTTTATTTCCAAGTGTATTTCTTATTTAAGAAATGTGCCCTTTTAAAACATGTTCTTATTTTATGGACTTAATAAACTTTGTGGTATTTCTGAGGACATTAGCTATATTGAGTTAAATTTCCTTCTAATCTCTGCATTGCCTGTTTCTTTAAATTCCTTTTTTAAGTTTCTTGGTTTTGTTTTCTCTCATTGATGCAAAAGTCTTTCTTCAAAGTGTGGATCACAATTTGATGTCATATTTAAGAGTCAGTCATTGTACTTGTTGGCTATATAAATATATATTTTGAGAAATGTCTATTCAGGTCTTATTTTTCAGTGTACACATACATTAAAACATCACATTGTACCCCATAAATATGTATGATAAAAAAGAGTAAGGCATTTAAACAGCATGGGATCTCTGTTTCAAGTGAGAGATTGGATAGCAATCCATCCTTTTCATGGAAATAACCCCCAAACAGCATAGCCCGACTTTTGTTTAGGATTATGCAGTTTATTCAGAGAAGAGTATCTCATTCTCCTGATTTAGGGAGGATGAGAGGAGTATGTCCCTGTGTTCTTGGTCTTGGAGCTTATCTATATAACAGAGTTTGCCACTATTTTTTTCAGTAATTTAAGTTATTCTTATTGCCCTTGCTTTTAATGCGAGATCATTTTCTGGTAATCCCATATCTCGACATCCTTTGGTTAATTTTTTCATAGATTAATTTTTCTGTTCACTTTGTAGAGAGATGTAATCAACTGGTTTCCCTGATGGGAATTGCAAACTGAGTTTTAAGTTCTTCTTCTTCATATTTTTTAATATTCTTGCATTTTTAGTCCCATGCCTTACTCCCATTTTAAGAAATTCCTCCTTTCTCCAATTCTGGATTTGCCTATAGCACTTGAAACAAATCAGCTTTCTTATCCATGGACAGATGCCAGTTTTCTCTTTGAGGATGATATCTAAACAGATGTTCATCCACTTTTCACCTTCTTTAGTTTAGTTTAGTTTAGTTTCTGCTTCTCAGCTTGTATCACCTGTACATCCATTTTCCTTGACATTCTTATTCCTCTATGACCAACTTAGTGTTAATGCAGGAAAGAGCTAAAATAAATAACTTCACACAATATGCCATGTTTTGGTCATAATTATATTTTATTCTTATTATTTTCACTATTTTCGTTATCTTTCTTTTTTGCATTTTTAAGCTAAGAAGTTGATGATATGTTTTAGTCAAAAATTCTTTCGGCCGGGTGTGGTGGCTCACGCCTGTAATCCCAGCACTTTGGGAGGTCGAGGCAGGTGGATCACGAGGTCAGGAGTTGGAGACCAGGCTGACCAACATGGTGAGACCCCATCTCTACTAAAAATACAAAAATTATCCGGGCATGGTGGCATGCGCCTGTAATCCCAGCTATTCAGGAGGCCGAGACAGGAGAATCACTTGAGCCCAGGAGGTGGATGTTGCAGTGAGTCGAGTTAGCGCCACTGCACTCCAGCCTGGGTGACAAGAGCAAGACTCTGTCTCAAAAAAAAAAAAAAGAGAAAAAAACCAATTTTTTCAAGTAAAATCAAAATTAAGATGAATATAACAACACCAACATGTCATATTGTGTTATTTATGAATAATTATTTCAGTGCAAAACTCTATATAATAGGCTAAGTTAAATATAATAGGTAATTATATCACAGTGAACTTAACAAACTTATTGACATTAAGATTTAACACTGATATGGAATATATACAGTGAGTACTATGTAACAAAAAACAACTTTGTGCAAAACAAATTAGTTTTCCCAAAAATATGTAAAAGAATTGCTTGTCATACATAGATTTGAAGGAAACCATGTAAAAACATAAAACAGACTTACTTCAAATTTTTTATGTTTAGATGGAGGATCAAGTTTTTACATAAATTTTCAAAGTTTAGAAGCAATTTTATTTTTTATGATAAGCTTCATTTGGTGCTTTATTATAGTGGAAAAAATACTCTCATGTAAAAGTCTTGTAGCTCTTGATAATATCCCTCAGGTTCATCTTAAACTACCTGGAATTTACAATCAACTTGCAGGACTCGTTCAAAATTTTTGGCAATAAGAGCAGATTGAAGGTTATGATTGTATAATATTTTGGTATAATTACCTGTGGCCTTGTAAAAGTAAACGGCAAACATCTGCTGAAAAACTGATCATCCTCATCTCCATACATGTGAGAAGTTCTGAAATATTCTGTTATGCAGTAGCCAGAAAATAAGAAGAAATAAATTAAGAAATAAATTGCTCACTAAAATATAAAAAATGCAAAATCCATTTGTGTCTAAAAATTTTACCAAAGAGAATGATCTCACAAAAAAAATTATTTTCTTAAGATGTGAGTAACAAGAGAATCAAGCTTTTAAAAAAATTCAATATAGTTAAAAAGTAATAAAAGGTATATAAAGAATGAACTGTGATCAAGTTGTTATTCTAATACTTATGAGACAATATTGCTACTAGAAGTTATAAAAAATGGGGAAAACTATTATAGCAGTAACTTAAAAAACTTTTTATTTCTTTTAAAATCAATATCAATTTTTCTAAAGTACATTTTTTAACATGCAAAATATAAAAATAAACATTTATTTTTTTTTAATTGCAGGTACTGTTTGCACCGCCCCCACCCCTCCAAAAAAAAACAACAAACAAGGACGGCTTCTCTAGTGCTTGCCACCTTTGTCAAAGCACCTGACACCACTGTCAAAGCACCCAGAGCCAGCAGAGCTACCTCACCTGACAGTTATCTCCCTAGGGCCTGAGAAATGGCCTACCTGGTGGCCCCCAAGCTCACTGAACTAGGCCAATGACTCCACAAATGCCCACAGTCTAAGCCACTGAGCGACATGCAGACATCATTGAGACTAATTTTTTTAAATATCATGGATTAAAAAGGCATTCCATTCCAATTAAAACCAAAATCAAGCAGGAGTAGCTATACTTAGATAAAATAGACTTAAGTAAAAAACTGTAAAATGGGTCAAAGAAGGTCATTATAAAATAATCAAGGAATCCAGCAAGAAGATATAACAATTATATTCTCACACAACACTGGTGCACTTAGATATGTAAAGCAATATTACTAATCCTAAAGGAAAAAGAGACACAAATACAATAAAAGCTGGGGACTTCAACACCACACTTCCAGCATTAGATCACCTAGACAGAAAATCGACAAAGAAACGTCAGATATAATGTACACTATAGAACAAATGAATCTAACAGACATTTACAGAATATTTCATCCAACAGCTACATAATACACATTTTCTTCACCAGTACATGAAACTCTCTCCAAGATAGACCATATGTTAGAACACAAAAAAATTCTTAACAAATTTTAAAAAATCAAAACTATAGCAAGTATATTCTCAGACCACAACAGAATAAATCTAGAAATTGATAAGAAGAGGTGGGGCACGGTGGCTCATACCTATAATCCCAGCACTTTGGGAGGCCGAGACAGGCAGATCACGAGGTCAGGAGATCAAGACCATCCTGGCTAATGCGGTGAAACCCTGTCTCTACTAAAAATATAAAAAATTAGTCAGGCGTGGTGGCATACGCCTGTAGTCCCAGCTAGTTGGGAGGCTGAGGCAGGAGAATTGCTTGAAACTGGGAGGCAGAGGTTGCAGTGAGCCGCGATCTCGCCACTGCACTCCAGCCTGGGCAACAGAGCAAGGCTCAGTCACAAAAATAAATAAATAAATAAATTGATAACGAGGAACTCTGAAAACTATATATACACGGAAATTAAACAATATGGTCCTCAATGACCATTGGGTCAAGGGAGAAATAAAGAATAACGTTTTAAATATTTCCTGTAAGAAATAAAAATTAAAATAAAACATACTAAGATCTAGGAGGTACAGTAAAAACAGTGCTAAGAGGGAATTTTATAGCAACAAGTGCCTACACCAAAAAAGTAGAAAGATTTTAAATAAATAATCTAGTAATGCATCTTAGAGAACTAGAAAAGCAAGAACCAATCAAACCCAAGATTAGTAGAAGAAATGAAAAAATAAAAATCAGCAGAAGTAAACAAACTAGAGGCCAAAAAACAATAGAAAAGACCAACAAAAAAATTATTTCTTGAAAAATAAGCAATATCAATAAACCACTTGCTAAGCTAAGCAATAAAAAAAGGAGATCCAATAAACAACATCAAAAAATGAAAAAATAATATTACAATTAACACAAATACAAAAGATTATCAAGGATTTTTATGAACAACTATACACTAACAAACTGGAAAACCTATAGGAAATGGATAAATTTCTGGACATATGCAACCTACCAAGATTGAATCAGGAACAAATAC